>NC_000002.12:22964300-23115815 GCF_000001405.40 Homo sapiens
CATTTTGTTCCCATCAAATTATTTCCTTTGGATAAATTCTCAAATGGAGAATTATTTAATCAAAATGTACCTTTTGTAAGATCTCACAATGTACTTCCATTTTGTTATCCCAACTAATTTTAGGAATTTATAAGGCCATTTAAGCAAAAATGGGTGCACTATTTTTATATATCATCAGCGGGACTGAAAACAAGTGTTGTTTGTTTGCTGTTATTATTTTAGTAGATTTGAAAAAAAGGTACTTCAAGGTTGCTTTCATTTTGACTTCTTTGATTCTCTCATTTTTATTTTTAAAATCTGATTGCCTGAATACAAAACACTGCTTTTTTACCTTCTGGAAGGCATAACTTTATTTATTAAACCTGAGGTTCTTTGTATTTTCAACCAGAGAACAGAGACTGCATCAAAGACCAAGACAGGGAAGTAAATTACACAAAACAACAAGGTTTTTCCATTTGGACAACTGAATCATGAAAGCTACCTACAGTTGAAATATGAAAAAGACTGATGGAGTCTGCAAGGCAAAACTGCCATGTTGGCACCTTATTAAATACTGGATTATAAAATACTTAAGGTAAATAAGCAATATTCACATGCAATACTAAGGCCTAGAGTTGACATGATTCCCAAGGGTTCAGAGAATATCAATAATTTTTGACCAATTGAAGAGTGGCCCTAAGGTAATTTTTTTAATCCTTTATTTGCTTTTGCTGAGTAAAAATTTTGAGGTTTACATTCTGAAGGCTTGATTATTCAGATTATTTCTATATAGCTAAATAAATTTGTAAGTAAAGGCTTTCTCAGTACATTATTTCATGTTAAAAATGATAATAGC
Source organism: Homo sapiens (assembly GCF_000001405.40). NCBI lineage: Eukaryota > Metazoa > Chordata > Mammalia > Primates > Hominidae > Homo > Homo sapiens. Next base: position 22,965,136 of record NC_000002.12, read on the forward strand.
TATTTAGACCACTTATGACTCTATTTTATTGCTATGATTAGCTTTAATATATAGCTTTTAAAATTGAATATGGGCTCTATCCCAACCGTCTTCAAATTTTTACTTTCAGAAATAGTGCTTGGAAATTTCAATTACTAATTTAATTCTACTATCAAATATGAGATGCTCTGCACAATTTATGTTTTTCTTATTGTCTGGAAATTTTATATCAATTAGGTATCATGCCTTTTAGTTTCAACTAGATTTTATGTACCTGTATTATTTTTAAAAAATGAAGCACAATTTACATATAACATCAACCATTTTTGAAGTGCATTTCTATGAGTTTGAAAATAAGATCATAAATAATGTACCAGCTTCCAGAATCAAGATGTAGAACAGTTTCATTACCTTCAAACATATTCCCATACTCCTTTATAGTCAACCTCTCCCCATCTTCAGCCCCTATCAACTACTGATCTGTTTTGGCCTTTTCTAGAATATCACAGAAATGAAATTATGCAGTATACAGCCTTTTGAGTCAGCCTCTTTCAATTAGCAGAATGCATTTGAGTTTCATACAGGGTGTTCCTTTATTTTGCTAAATATTGGTAAATAGTATTCCTTTGCATGTATATACCACAATTTGTCTATTTATTTTACTTTAAGTACATTTGCATCATCTTCAGGTCAGACCAATCATGGATAAAGTTGCTATATACATTCATGTACAAGTTTTTATCTCTTGTGGACAAATAAAACTGACAAATTGCTTTCCAAAATGGCTGAACATGTTTTATTTTCATCCTATTGCAATCCATGAGCATTCCAGTTGCTCTACATTCTCATCAGCACTTGGCATTGTCTGCTGTTTTTATTTTAGCCTATTTATTTGGTGTGTATCCCATTGTGATTTTAATCTGCATTTTTTATGACTAATTAAGCTGAGTAAACTTTCATGGGCTTATTGGCCATCCATATTTTTTGATGAAGTGCCTGTTCAAATATTTTTTCATAGTTAATTGGATTAGTTGTTTTCTTATTATTGAGTTTTGAGTTGAGTTTATATATTCCAAATACAAGTCCTTAATATTTTGCCAATGTTTTCTTTCAGTCTGTGGCTTGTCTTTTCATTTTCTTAACAGTACTTTTTTGCAAAACAGAAGTTTTCAATTGTGAAAAATTCTAATTTATAATCATTTTTAACAGTATGCATTTTTGTGTTTTTGTTTTTTGCCCCTATCTTTTTTTTACTCCTAGTGACACCTCAACTGACCATGTTCAGCAGGAATGGTTTGGTCTGTTTCACTAGCACATCCAGTGGCTACTGAATCTCTTTAACATGAAGGAAGCAAATAAGAAGACATGGAAAGAACATCAAACTGAGAGTCAAGATGTCTAGATTCTTGTTTTGCCTTTAACCTTCAGCTAATGATTTAAATTCAGCTAATGATTTAAATTCACTAGACTTCCATTCCTTAACCTACATTTTATTTTTATTTATTTATTTATTTAAAGATAGGGTTTCTCTCTGTTGCCCATGCTGGAGTGCAATAGTGTGATCATAACTCACTGCATCCTTGACCTGAGATCAAGAGATCCTCCTGCCTCAGCCTCTGAAGTAGCTGGGAATGCAGGCATGAGCCACCACACCCAGCTCTTATCTACACTTTATAAATAAAACCTGCTTTACCCATCTCAGGAATAATGAGGATAACATTAAATAAAAGATTCAAAAGTACTTGCAAAGTACTGGAAGGATTATACTTGCATAGAACATCACTAAAGAAACATTTTCTGCTTCTAATAGCCTCCCATCAACTTTGATGAACTTACTTGGACCCCACATTACAAAGGTATTTCTGTAACTACAAACACAAAAACTCTTATATGTTAAGTACTCGGTGCATTCCTATTTTTCTCTAGAATATTCTTTAGCAACTTCAAACTTGCTTTTCATTCTATCAAATTTCTTTTTTAAAATTCCATATATATAACACTGGATAGTACTAGGATTTTATTTCAAAAACTTATATATTTTTTAAATTTTTTCAAAAAGAAATGCCCTAACCAGCAACGTAATTGAGATTCCTTCCTTTGGACATTTGGCAGAAACGTCTTCTTTCATGAAATAGTGGTGTTATTTAATAATGAAGCATGATTTTTCCCCCTCTCTCTCTCAAAAGTGAAAATTGAAGTATAGCAGAAGATTCAACATTCTCGAGGATATACATGTGTGCTTTTTCTAGTAAAACTAGATTTTAAAAAACAATATTTCTGTGAACAGGAATATTTGTGGTTAAGCATTTTATCTATGTGGTTCTAAATATTGAAACTAATAAAGGAATACTTTTAAAGAAAAAAGGTTTAGTCTGTATAAGCACAGAGAGTGGATAATATGCCACTATCACAAAGTTTTTAATACATTTGCTTAATATTTTTAAGTAAACTCTTTTTAATGTTAAAAAGTCTTTTTTCTAAGTTGTGTAGCTAATTATGGCAAAATTGCTATTAGCTTATTTTGGGAAATAGGTAAATCTCACATTGAACTCTTGTGATAATGAGTCAGCACAAACCTACAATAATTATTTTTAAATGAAAATCAAATTGTGTCACCCCTCTAGTCAATGGCTTTGCCATCTCGCTCGGAGTGAAAGCCACAGTCCTCCCAAGGGCCCAATCTCAACGCCCCCTGCCACGTCCTCTCCCATCACTCTGTTCTCTTGCCTGCCCACTCCAGTTGACTGGTCCCCTTCCTCTTTCTTGTTCATTTCAGGCCTTATGCTCTTACTAGTGTCTTCCGCCTGGAATGCTTTTCCCTGGATAACACATTCCTGGCCCAGGACCAGCTACATAATGTTTCATGCTCAGTGTAAAATGAAAAATGCTTTTCACTACAAATTGGTAAGAATCACAAGATGGCAACAGCAGAGCATTAAACCAAGTGTGGGGTCCTGTGCAATTGCATGAGTGGTGTATTAGTCCATTCTCCCTCTGCTATTAGGACATACCTGAGACTGGGTAATTTATAAAGGAAAGAACTTTAATTGACTCACAGTTCCGCATGGCTAGGGAGGCCTCATGGAACTTACAATCATGGTGAAAGGGAAAGCCAATATGTCCTTCTTCACACGGTGGCAGCAAGGAGAAGTGCAGATTGAACATGGGAAAAAACCCCCCGATAAAACTATCAGATCTCATGAGAACTCACTCACTATCACAAGAACAGCATGGAGGTAACCACCCCCATGATGCAATTACTTCCCAGCAGGTTCCTACCACAATACATGGGGATTACGGGAACTACAATTCAAGATGAGATTTGGGCAGGGACACAGCCAACCACATCAGACGGTGTGCTCAGGGAAGCCTAACTGCCTGGCTTCTTACTTCCCTCATCTTTGTTCCAGTGTCACCATATATTAGAGAAGTCATTCTTCTCACCATTCTATGTGGGATAGTTACTCCTGTGGCACTCTTTGTTTCTTTCCCTTGTTTTGCAGTTCTCCTTAGCACTTGCCACCAGCTAATCTACTCTGCACTAAATCATTTACTTCTTTCTTTGGTGTCTATCTCCTCCTGTGGAAATATAAGGGCCATACATGCTTTATCACCCAGGGTATAGAATATGCCCACCACAGAGTAGCCACTCAAATATTTGCTGATTGAATGAACAAATGAATAGATGACCAGTAGTGAAAAGCGAGGCCATATAAATAAAAAGCAAAGTTTGTTGTTGTTTTTTTTTAAGGATTCAAGAGTCACATCAGAATTTAAAACAGAGAATACAGAAACTCTGTTTTGTATGCATATGGGGGGTCCAAATTTAAGAATGCAAATTGGGGAATGAGGAGAATGGATTTTGCTTCAGCTCTAACACTGTCTGGCTCTGCGACTTTGGAGCAGTCTCTTGACCTCCCTGAATCCCATGTTGTCACCAGTGTAGTGAGAGGCCTTCTAGCATTCTGTGACTTTATGGAACAATCTTACACACTTGTAAGTCCAAGCTCAACATTCTAAGTAAACATTGAAGTAATCTTGTCAGTTGAAGCTATTTTCTGTATGTTTGGGTCAAAACCCAAAACTGCAGACACTCTCTTTGTATTACCAGTCTAGTATGTATACAGTCTTTTTCCTTCAATATGATAGTCTAGTTATGGCCTCAGAAAATCATTTCCCCAAGGAAAAAAATTAGTCTACTTTGAGGAAGAGCTAGAATTATTATAAATGGCTTGTGCATCAGTTTGTGGAACTTGAACCCTTAAATGGGGATATATGGATATGCTTATTCAGACCCATAGGATGTTATATGTTGGTTCCTTAGAAAGAGCTAGAAACCTAAATGTAGAGCCTGCTGACCCTCTATTTCCTTACTGCTGGTTGAGACATTATGGGGTGTCTATTGCTGAATCCATTGTAGAAAACAGAATCCTCATTTAATATGTCAAGCTCCTTTTTTGTATTATTAATTCCAAAAATCATGAAGAAATGTTCTGATCATAAATTCTCTTGGCATAGATGATATGAAAACACAAAACATTAAAATGCCTTCTGGCTCTGTATATGTCTGCGTTGAAAAATATTTGTTTTCCAAACCTCAGCCTCTCTCCTTTGTGGTCAATAATTGTGCACAGTATTTGCTTTGTAGTTTGTTTTTCATGTCCATTTTGCTTAAGATAATGTCCTGTGTCCTTTTTTTATACTTCTAATACATTTTTCCTCTGCTCACTGTGTTATTTGCAAAGAAACAAACAGATTTTTCCCCAGAATTCACATTAATCCTTCCCACTGAAATATTTTTCCATGTGCTTTTATCACTATTTTAAAATAATCTTGTTTCATCTGATGGAATGTGAGCAAGATGGACCTCGATTACATAAAAATGGACAGAGGCAAAATGAACCAAAGTGAGACCCAATGCAAATGCTGAGAGCAAGGTTATAGACTTGGTCAATTGAATAGGGAAAGGCTTAAGAGTTCTATAAATCTCAGTACAAGGTCAGAATAGGAATTAAGAAAGCAGAGCAAGATAGCTGAAGAGAAGCCTCCACCCATCATCCTCCCTTACAAAGACACTTTCACACGCGTCCCTGTGAAGAGACCACCAAACAGGCTTTGTGTGAGCAATAAAAGCTTTTAATCACCTGGGTGCAGGCAGGCTGAGTCCAAAAAGAGTCAGCAAAGGGAGATAGGGGTGGGGCCATTTGATAGGATTTGGGTAGGTAAAGGAAAAAGGGGGGTTGTTCTCTGGCAGGCAGGAGGGGGGGTCACAAGGTGCTCAGTAGGGGAGCTTTTAAGCCAGCATGAGCCAGGAGAAGGAATTTCACAAGACAATGCCATCAGTTAAGTCAGGAACGGGCCATTTTCATTTATTTTGTGGTGGAATGCCAACAGTTAAGGCAGGAACCGGCCATCTGGATGTGTAAATGCAGGTCACAGGGGATATGATGGCTTACTTGGGCTCAGAGGCCTGACAGACACCAGTTTAACAACTATCTACATATATTTTTTTAAAAACACGCTCTTAAGAACCAAAAATCAGGTGAGCACTCACAGTACCTGGTTCTAGCAACTTTGTATTCCTGAAAGAGTTACTCAAGAGGTAGGAAAAGCAGTCTTGAATTGCAAACACCACCCCTCCCCGACCCCGGGTAGCCGCTGCCTGGTGCAGAGAGCATCTCTGTGCACTGGGGGAGGGAGAACACAGCGATGGTGAGGCATTTAACTCAGTGCTGTCCCGTTATAGCAGAAAGAAAAACTGGACCAAATTCAGCTGACTCCTGCCCATGGAGGGAACATTTAAATCAGCCCTAGCCAGAAGGGAATCCTGGATCCCAGAGGTCAGAACTTGAGTTCTGGCAAACCTTGCCACTGGGGTCTAAAGTACTCAGGGGCTCTAAATAAACTTGAAATGTAGTTTAGGCCACAGGATCTGTAACTTCTAGAGGAGTTCTACTGTTGAACTGAGCCCAGAGCCAGTAGACTGTGGGGGGGGTGGGGGGGGGGCAGGGGAATGCAACCTGCTGAAGATACCCGCTGGGACAGCTAAAGGAGTGCTGGCATCACCCCTCCCCTAGCCCCAGGGAGCAAAGCTCACTGCTCCAAAAGAGAGCCCTTCTTTCTGCTTGAGAAGAGCAGAGGAAAGAGTGGGGAGGAGTTTGTCTTGTGTCTTGGATACCAGCTCAGCCACAGCAGGGTAGGGCACTGGTCAGAGTGTTGAGACCCCCATTCCTGGCTCTAGCTCCTGGACATTTCTAGACACACCACGGGCCAGAAGGGAACCCGCTGCCTTGAAGGGAAGGACCCAGTCCTGGCAGCATTAATCACCTGCTAACTAAAGAGCCCTTGGGCCCTGAATAACCAGCAATAATATCCAAGGTACTATGATGAGGGTCTTTCGAATGACTCTGAGACTAGGTATAGGAGGAATATACCTCAACATAATAAAAGCCATATATGACATATCTACACCTAGTATCATACTGAATGGGGAAAAACTGAAATCCTTTCCACTGAGATCTGAAAAATGACAAGGATGCCCATTTTTTTCACCACTGTTATTCAACATAATACTAGAAATTCTAGCTAGAGCAATCAAACAAGAGAAAAAAAAAGGCATCCAAATTTGAAAGGAAGAAGTCAAATTATCCTGTTTGCACATGATATGATCTCATATTTGGAAAAATATGAAGACTCCACAGATAAACTTTTAGAACTGATAAATCCAGTAAAGTTGCAGGATACAAAATCAACATACAAAAATCAGTAGCATTTCTATATGCCAGCAGGGAAAAATCTGAAAAAGAAATCAAAAAAGTAATCCCATTTACAATAGCCACACATAAAATTAAATACCTAGAAATTAACCAAAGAAGTGAACAATCTCTGTAATAAAAACTGTAAGACACTGATGAAAAAGAAATTGAAGAGGACACAAAAAAATATTCCATGTTCATGGATTGGAAGAATCAGTATTGTTAAAATGTCTGTACTACCCAAAGTAGCCGTCTACAGGTTCAATACAATCCCTATCAAAGTACCAATGACATTCTTCACAGAAATAGAAACAATCCTAAAACTTATATGAATTCACAAAAGACCCAGGATAGCCAAAGCTATCCTAAGCAAAAAGAACAAAACTGGACGAATCACATTACCTGACTTCAAATTATACTGCAAAGCAATAGTAACCAAAACAGGATGGTACTGACATAAAAACAGACACACATAGATCAGTGGAATAGAATAGAGAACCCAGAGACAAATTTGCACACCTACAGTGAACTTATTTTTGGCAAAAGTGCCAAGAGCATATATTGGGAAAAAGACATTCTCTTCAATAAATGGTGCTGGGAAAACTGGATATCCACATGCAGAAAAATGAAACTAGACCCCTATCTCTTGCCACGTACAAAAATCAAATCAAAATAGATTAAATATTTAAATCTAAGACCTCAAACTCTGAAACTACTGCAAGAGAACTTTGGGGAAAATCCCCATGATATTGGTCACAGCAAAAATTTCTTAACTAATACCCCACAAGCACAGGCAACCAAAGCAAAAATGAACAAAATTAACATTAAGTTTAAAAGGTCCTGCACAGCAAGGGAAAGTAATCAATTGATAAAGTCAAAAGACAACCCACAGAATGGGAGAAAATATTTTCAAACTACCCATCTGACAAGGCATTATTAAACAGAATATATAAGAAGCTCAAACAACTGTACAGGAAAAAAATCTAGTAATTGATCAAAAAATGGGCAAAAGATTTGAATAAACATTTTTCAAAAGAAGACATACAAATGGCAAACAGGCACATTAAAAGGTGCTCAGTATCACTGATCATCAGAGAAATGCAAATCAAAACTACAATGGGATATAGTGTCATCTCACCCAGTTAAAATGGCTTATATCCAAAAGACAGGCAGTAACAAATGCTGGGGACAAGATGGAGAAAAGCAAACCCTCATATGCTGTGGATGGGAATGTGAATTAGTACAACCACTATGGAGAACAGTTTGGAGGTACCTCAAAAAAACTAAAAGTAGAGTGTGATGGTTAATACTAAGTGTCAACTTGATTGAAGGATGCAACGTATTGATCCTGGGTGTGTCTGTGAAAGTGTTGCCAAAGGAAATTAACATAGGAGTCAGTGGGCTGGGAAAGGCAGACCCATCCTTAATCTGGGTGGGCACAATCTAATCAGCTGCCAGCATGGCTAGAATATAAAGCAGGCAGAAAAACGTGAAAAAAATAAACTGGCCTAGCCTCCCAGCCTACATCTTTCTCCCACGTTGGACCCTTCCTGCCCTTGAACATCAGACTCCAAGTTCTTCAGTTTTAGACTCAGTCTGGCTTTCCTTGCCTCTCGGCTTACAGACGGCCTATTGTGGGACCTTGTGATTGTGTGAGTTAATACTTAATAAACTCCCCTTTATATAAATACGTTAGTTCTGTCCCCCTATTAGTTCTGTTCCTCTAGAGAACCCTGACTAATACATAGAGCTGCCATATGATCCAGGAATCCCACTGCTGGGTATATACCCAAAAGAAAGGAAATCAGTATATCAAAGAGATATTCCGTGTTTGTTGAGGCACTGTTCACAACAGCCAAAATTTGGAAGCAACCTAAATATCCATCAACAGATGAATTGATAAAGAAAATTTGGTATTTATACACAATGAGTATTATTCAGCCATAAAAAGAATGAGATACTGTCATTTGCAACAACATGGATGGAAGTGGAGATTATTATGTTAAGTGAAATAAGCCAGACACAGAAAGACAAATGTCACATGTCCTCATTTTTGGGATCTAAAAATAGAAACAGTTGGATTCATGGACATACAGAGTAGAAGGATGGTTACCAGAGGCTGGGAAGTGTGGCAGTAGGGGATGGGGAAAAGGAGCATGATTAAAGGGTACAAAGAAATGTTACAAAGAATAAGACCTGCTATTTGACAGCACAACAGAATGACTATAATCAATAACTTAATTGTACATTTTAAAATAACTAAAATATATAATTGGATTGTAACACAAAGGATAAATGCTTGAGGGGAATGAATGTCCTGTTCTCCATGATGTGATTATTACACACTGCATGCCTATATCAAAACATCTCATATGTGCCATAAATATATACACCTACTATGTACCCACAAAAATTAAAAATTTTTTAAAAAGTAGGACTTAATACTGGACTCCATTCATGTCGATTCCTTGTTATCCCCTCAATTAGAAACTCTATTTCTAGAGACTAGGAATATAGGTCCTTACTGGTTATAGTTAGGAAGATGTGGATGCAGGAGACTTGCTTGTTCATCAGAAAGACAGGTTTGGCAGAGCTTGACTTTAGTGCATTAAAGATAAGTCATAATTGAGCACCTTGTCCCTCAGTGAGGACAAATAAGCAGAAAAAGTGCTATATTTATATAGTATGCCTACGTGTGTTACCAGCATATCAAGAGCATCAGAGAAGCATGCCAACCCAGAACAACTCTTGGGATACACACAACTTACTTAGGGCAGGAAGCCTACTGAGAAAGCTACTCGGCCGCAAACATTGGCTATTTCTTTTGTGAATGAAAAGATGACCCACAGGGTAGAACCAAGAGCCCAAAGAGCAGAGATAGAAACCATGGAGAATCGTTCCCATAGCAGAAGAAGAGGCCTAACTAAGAAGTGACAACATATGCTCAATTGTATTTCAGCACTGGCTGGATTTCTGAATTGGCCTGGACCTGTGACTGCTAAGTGTCTCCTACTATCACCTTTTTAAGTGGGAATGTCTATTATGTTTGTCCCATCCATGCATCACCATTGTATTTTGGCTGTGTAGGAGGAAGATAACATGTCTCTTTATTTTATATATCTTCAGACCAAGAGGAACCATACTCAAAGAATCATACCTGGGGAGCCTCTTTAGCTTACATGCTTAGATTAACAGAAACTGGGGGCCTTAGTTTAAGCTTAATGCTAGAATAGGATTAGAATTTTGAGTCTTGAAAGGCAGTGAATGTATGTGTGTGTGGAAGAAATATAAAGTTTGTGGCCAAAAGGTGGACTGTGATGGGTGAAAGATGGTCACAATTCCTGTGGCACTGCTTCCCTGGAAAGGAGGAGCCCAATATACTCCTCCCCTCTAATCGGAGTTGGCCTTGTGAACTTGTATGACCAATGAAACGCAATGGAATTGACATTCTGGGACTTTTAAGATGCTTTCACCTGGGCCTCTGGAAACATTTTCCAGGAGCGTGAGCCACTATGCAGGAGGACTCCAGTCGACAGTTTCAGCATAGCTCAGCCCTCCAGCTGCCCACATCAAGGGTCAGACACGGTACGAAGCTCTCTTGAACCCTCTCTCTGAACCAGCCCACCCACCTGTCAAATATTAAAAGTGACCTCAACCAATGCCATGTACAGTAGAATTGCCCAGGTAGGCCCTGCCTGAATCTCACCCCCATAAAATTGTGAGAATATTAAAGTAACTTTTTTATGTAAGCCACTAAGTATTTGGGAAAATTTGTGATGCAGCAGTAAATAACCAGAATGAGGTCTCTTCCTCCTTCTGGGTCTCAGTTTCCTCACTGACAAAATGTGAGATTTGAATCAGACCCCTGAGTTTTCTTCCAATTTTAACAAAATTGGCAAAACAACACTTTGCAATTGCCACAATCTTTCTTATAAAATCATCTAAAGGTAGTAAGCATTACAAAATTAAGTCACTTCTAACTTAAACACCTGAACCAGAGTTAAAAAGCTGGGGAACTGTTGCCAGTACATACAAACCACCATTCTGGCTGAAGATAAGCTAACAAGGTTAATGTTTTTATAGAGAGACAAGGTGATTTCTCCTCAATGACTCCAGAAGGGTTAGTGAAATCCACCCAAGTTACCTTAAATCTAAAATATCTCAGTCCTTCAAACAAAAATTTCCATTGAACAAGACATATGAAAATTGGTCTAGAAGATTAATTCCTATCTGCAAACAAGTTGGTGACTATGTATATACAAGAGCAAATGCATGGACTTCTGTCTATTCATTTGGCATAGAAGTTCTTAGCTTGCAGTTTATGTACTCTCAAGGGGTCCATGGATAAAATTCAGGGGTCCATGTACTTTCATGGGAATACAATTATTTATTTTTTAATGTTTAATTGAATTTAGAATTTCAATTATAAATACAGACAAAAAACCCAAAAACTATTAACGGTACCTGTGATTTTTGCCACCACTAGAAATCAACAATGTGTTCGTATAACAGCTGTTGCAAACATCTCAAATTATTATTTATGCTCATCACAATGCTAAAATTAGGTTTATTAATCCCACTGATGCAGCTGCTATATAGTACATTAATAAAAAACATATTTATGTGTACATACACATATATATATCCTACTATAAAACAAATTTGCTTTTCATATGTTGATAACCATATTTTACTATAATTGTTTTGCTTTTTAATGCTATGTGTTTTAGTTTAAATGTTTAAAAACATTATTCTGAGAAAGTATTCATAGGCTGCTTGGACAACCAAGGGGGTCCATGACACCAAAAAAGTGAAAAATCCTTGATGTTCATCCCATTGTACAGCTCTAGCTCACCTGACTTTCCTGCCAGTCAGTACATGTTGAGCACCTGCCATGTGTCCAAGTGGTCTCAGAGGTCAGCTGGCAGATACATTAGTTTTCTCCCATTTTGCTTCCCTTTCCCAATTCCTGTAGTTGCTCTGAATATCAGCCTGTGTCTTCAGACCCTCTTCCCACTCATGGCCCCCTCATTCTTCACAGACGTTTCTGCTCCATACTTCATTATAGAAAAGGTAAAACTTCCTCGTTTTAATCATGCCCAATATTTCTATTGTTACATGTGTGCCACTATCTCTCTAATATATATTTCCAAACCCATCTCTTCTGAGCTTAACAATCTAAATTTCCAGCTGCCTACTAATCTTGAATATCGTTCACATACTTCAAATTAAGTGGGATCATTCATGAAAGGTTCCTGCCATCATAAATGCTGACTCACACTGACCCCTAGGTACATATGGCCACAGCAATTCTGCACGTGAGGCCCTTTGGTGTCACATCTGGATTTAACCTCCTCTCCCTCACCCCCATATATTTCTGAAATCCACTTCTCTTGACTCAGACTCTGCTCAGCTCTTGCACTGACCATTTGACTGGCCTTTTAAAGAATCTCCCAACTTCTAGTATCTCATTTTTTTCCAATCCGACTAGAATTATCTTTCTAGAACTCAAATTTGACCATTTCACTTTTCACCGTAAAAGTTGCACTGCATAAACTGTTAGGTCTCACCTGGGTGATTCATTAAAACACAAACTGCTTGGCCCCAACCCCAGAGTATCTGATTCAGTACATCTGCTGTGGGGCCTGAAATTTTGCATTTCTAACCAGTTTCCAGGTTAGAAACTGATGCTGCTGGTCAGGAAACCACACTTGAGAATTCCTGGCCTAGAACATCGTCCTTAAATCTGTTTGATTTGCAGTTCTTCCAGGAAAAATTGTTTCAGACCTCCGTTATAGGTATGCCTAATTATTTATAAATTACTTACAGGTTCTAATGCATTAACATGGCAGGTACATTATGAAACACATTACAAATAATCATTTTAAAAGATAAAACAAAAAAGGAATAGAAAATTTAAGAATATTCTTTCTGTACCCACATGAATGTTATACACCTCACATCAGAATATTCTGGGAGGGACAGAGATTAAGAATGAGCCTTGGGCTGAGATATTAAGTCCTATACTCTTTGTCATTCTAGTCAATCATAGTCAGTCTGTTTGCTTTCTAATCCTGGCTCCAGGCTATAGAAAGTTACAACCTTAGGGAAGATCCTTCACCTCTGTAAGCCTCTATGTCTTCCTCTGTAAAATGGAGATAATATTCAGTAACAACCTTATAGGATTGTTTTTAAGATTAAATAAATTAATATGCATAAATGGCTTAACAAATTCTTGGCATATAATAAATGCTCGATTAATGCTGACTATTATGATTGCTCCCAGTTAGTACCTTATGCTATAACCATGCCGCTCAGTTCTCTATTTCCTGAGTAAATATCCATAACTCAGTGTCTTTACTTGTGTTGTAGCCTCTGCCTGGAATATCTTTCCTTTATCTCAACTTGGGAATATCCTTCTCGTCTTTCACAATCAAGCTGAAAATGTTACGTCCGTTATGACAGTAACTTACCTGAACATCCTGGCATAATTAATTGCTCTCTCCTCTTTGTTCTCACAGTACTGTTACAAATCTCTAAATATTCCTTCCCACAATGTATTATGTACAGTTGCTTATATGCCATTTCTTCCAATATTGTGAGCTCCTTGATATGGAGTTCATGGTGACCTATATATCCATCACATCACTGGAGAAAATGCTTGGCACGTAGGAGTTGCTAGATATTGATTGTGAAAGAGAGTGAAGACATGAGGGAGCTGGAGATAGAGGAAAAAGATGTAGGAAAAGAAAGAAAAAGAGAGAGAAGGAAGAAAAATGAAGGGGAAAGAAAGGAAAGGTTGGTCACCAGCTCTTCTCAAGTTCATGCTAGTATTTGGAAAAGCGTGACAATTTAGTCCCAGCCCTATAGCCTAACCCCAATGCAGATAATGTCTTTCCCATGTGACTCCCCTCTTCAGCCTCACTTTCTCTGGTCCCTTGGACAAGAAGCCTGAGATATGATTTAAAAAAAAATTGTGTGTGCTCCTGGATTCTAAAACCCTTGGAATCTTCAGAATGATGAGTATCTTTTGTATACCAGTAGGATGATTGGTGACTGGGGGCACCTATATAGCTTCAGGATGGGAATTGGACCCCCAAAAAACCAAGTCTTGACTAGAATCTTAGAACTTCCTGCTCTACACCCCAGCTTTTGGGAAGGGGAGAGGGACTGGAAATTGAGTTCAATCACCAATGGCCAATAATTTAACCAATCATGTCTATGTAATAAACCTTCACAAAAATCCCTAAACAATGGGGTGAAGAGAGCTTCCAGATTGATGAACACATCCACGCGTTGGGAGTGCAGTACATCCCAACTTCACCTGACAGAAGCTCTTACACCCAGGACCCTTCCAGCCTTCACCCTAAGTATCTCTTCATTTGCCTGTTCATTGGTATCTCCATAACTGAAGTGTTTCCCTGAGTTCTGTGAGCTATTTTGGCAAATTAGAAGGGTGCTATGGGAACTCCTAATTCATGATTGGTCAGAAGTACAGATGGCAATCTGAGACTTGCAACTGGCATGTGAAGTGGGAGCAGTCTCATGGGACTGAGCCCGTGGGCTCTGCCTGAACTCTGCGTAGTCTAGAATTGAATTGAATTGTGGGACACCCAGTTGGTGTCCAGAAAGTTGGAGAATTGGTTAGTGCAGATAAAAACCACACACACATTTGGTGTCAGAAGTGTCTGGAGTAAAAACAGTTCAGAGAGGCCAATCAGGGTACCAATGGAGTCTGCAGCTGTCTTATAAAAATATGCTAGCTAAACCAACAGGCACCACACCCTGAACTATTCTCTCATGGCCCCACATCCCGTTCACCTCAATGGAAAGTCCATGCAAGGGTGACACAGCCACTAGAACTGATACCTCAGTTCTCCTCTCTGGTTTCTATAATTTCATGGCCTTAGGATATCAAAAATAAATGCCTGTTCTCAGTCTGAAAATTCTCCCAAACCCCATTAATAACATTGCTTAAGCTCACAGGCCCTGAAGGCCTCTAATTATGTTTCCTTGAGTCAATCTTTAAGTCCTTTGTTATAGTACGTTCCAGTACACATCCACATCCATTTGAACCCTGAGTACAATGTCTCAGAGTTCACACTCCCTGCACTATCAACAAGATTCCTGGCTGGGTATGGTGGCTCACGCCTGTAATTCCAGCACTTTGGGAGGCCAAGGCAGGTGGATCACGAGGTCAGGAGATTGAGACCATCCTGGCTAACACAGTGAAACTCCGTCTCTACTAAAAATACAAAAAATTAGCCGGGTGTGGTCGTGGGTGCCTGTAGTCCCAGCTACTCAGGAGGCTGAGGCAGGAAAATGGCGTGAACCTAGGAGGTGGAGCTTGCAGTGAGCCAAGATAGCACCACTGCACTCCAGCCTGGGCAAAGGAGCAAGACTCCATCTCAAAAAATAAAAATAAAAATAAATAAAAAATATTCCTGTGTTGTCTTCAGGACTCGACAGTTCTTGCAGAGTTACTACTCGATTGTCTGAGTAGGCCTGCTCTGTAAATCCTTATTGCTTGCTTACTGTGTGAAAGGAAAAGTAGAATCAAATTACACTGCCATTTAATAAGCCCATCAAGGCCCTCTACCACCTGCTAACAAGGTTCACATTGTCCCCCTACCTCTGCCCAGATTCCCCCTTCAATGGAGCTCTGTTTGCATGTGCTCATGATTACTAGGCTATATTACTTTGAAAGAAAAGCTGGCTTCATGTTATATAAAGTACATTCCTAATCTGTGGCACACAGCATAAGGGAGCTGGATATACCCTTGTCAGCCCTAATGAAAGAAGAATATTAGACCCATTAAAAGGCTAAAGTCCAATCACCCTTCAGTGATTTTTCTTCTCATCAGCAAAAATGCTCATTAATTCTAATATCTTTGCTTTCAGGCATGAACTATGAGATCTGAACAAAAATTTCATTTGTAATGAATACATTCTGTCAGAAGTAGAATTATGATGATTCTACTCGTGATAATAATAAGCCATATCAAGAGAACAAGAGGATTCTGTGTTCTCAGCTAGCAGGGGGTCTGTGAGACCCTCTGTCCATGACATGGTCTTGTGATGCTCCATAGCATCTATATAAATAATGAGACTACGCAAACAGGAAGTTGATCTTCTAACCAACAGACCATAATGCAGACATCCATAACTGACTGCATCTGATGATAAGGATATGGTCTCTTCTTCTGAATAACCCTGACAGCCTATTTATGAGCCTACATTTACAGGGATGTGTTTTCTGGAATGAAAGTTTACTGTAAGGATACTTCAACAACTAGGTCGATGGCTACAGAGTCACCTTGGAACCCAGAGCTTCTAAGCCTGGGTCATTCTAAACAAAGAGATCATAGCTTTCTATGGTTTAGGAATTGACTCTCATAACCTGGGTCTTCTTGTTTGACTTAGCATGTATATTTTCCATTACAGGAAATCTTGGAGCTCTGTATACATGTACTTAGAAAAACTTATTTGATGAGTAAGTGAAGACGTTCAGCCTTGCCACAATCCAACACTATCCAGTTGCTTTCCTGGTCCTTAAGGAATAAGGCTGTTTATAAGTCTGGACAATTCTGTCATTCTCCCCCAAACCGATCCTAATCCCACCAACATGCTGAAGGCAGGGGAAGACCTCATGGAACTGCCCTATCAGTCCTGGCCTCTTCACCTCCAAAACTATTTAACATGAAAGCATAGCCTACTACATTTTTTAAGCCACTATATTTGAATCTCTGTACTAATGGTCAAGTACAGTTTCTAATTGATAGTGACGTATATTAATGTTCTCATTTAAAAAAAAGCAAACTGGTTAAGCACGCTTAAGACACAGGCACCAAATCACACATCTAGATAGCATGAAGTCAGGCTTTTAAACCTTGGTCCCTGATAGCAAAGCCCTGTTCTTCCTAATGTGCCCATGACTATGGTAGCCATGAATCAATAGAGCAATTAGAATTGTTATGTCTATTGTAATATTGAGTTAGAAAAAGGATTTGGTTTCAATAGATCAAAGAGAAAAGAAATTAGAAAGAGAGCCTGTGGGGAAATGTGTATGTGGAGAGTTGCCAGAAGAGAGGCCAGCCAAAAAGGGATTTAACACAATTGCTTATCAAATGGGCAAAGGACAGGACATGCAATTCACAAGCGAGGACACATAATTAGAAGACAAATGGGGAAAACATATTATGTTTCTAGATATCAAGGAAAGGCAAATTAAAACAACAGTTTTATGCTCTCTAAGACAACAAAGAAAGGAATATCAGCACCCAATGTTTCCAAGGGTGTCATGAAACCCTGCACACAAATGTACCCTGGTGAAAATATAATTTGGAAATCCCATTTAACACAAATTTACCTATAATTATCAAGAGTCATGCAGATGTTTATGCTTTTTATCTTAAAGAAAATATCTGAAATATTTTATACATATAAAGATGCAAACCATGACAATATTCAGAACAGCAAAAGTTTAAAGTTAAGTGTCCCTGAACAAGATGTTTAGGTTATATGGAACGTTAACATGGTAGAATATTATCTAGAGTTAGCTCAGGCACTACCCTCTCTGGTGCGGACCACTGCAATGGACTTGTTTCTTGTCTTCAGCTTTCTCCTCCCAAGTCTAGGCTTCACCCTACCACCAGAGGGGTTTTATGAACATGGTATTCCTCCTACCTGCATGAGAGCGTTCTGGCTCCTAATGCCTCTGTGGGCTCTTCCCTACCTTCCTCTCCAACCTCATTTTTTGCTGTGGCCCCACCTGGAGACCTCTGTTCCTACTGCACTAAACAAATCATAAACACACCCATTTCCTGCATACACATCCATAATTCAATGTCTTCATTTGTCTTGCAGCTTCTATCTAGAATAGTCTTTCTTCATCTCCTCTTGGTAAAATCCTTCTTGTCTTTAAAACTCAGCTAAAAATATTAGCTTGGCTTTGCACATACATCTTCAGAATTAGTGGGGCCTTATCTGTGCAAGAAGTGCCAGTTTGCCTTCAAAATTGAGCCTAATTGTTGCCTATTTGTAAATATTTTCTTGATTTTTTACACGTCTATTTCCAGGTGAAATCTAACAAGCTTTACTCGGGGCCTCCAATGAACCCTGTACAGATATTTATAACAGCTCCTGTCATTTCTTCTTGTGTGTATGTATTGATGTGTATGTATATACATCACCCTTTATTAAACTTCAAGGTCACGGATATGTCATCAAGTCCAGTAATAGCATCTTATTCACCAGAACTACTTAATGATTATCATATGCCAAGCACTATGTTACGCGTTTTGCATTTTATCTCCATAGCGCAATAAAATTTTATAATTCTAATAATGTATGTTATTGTTATTCTCAATTTAACAGATGAGAAAACTGAGGTTCAAATAAGTAACTTGCTCAAAGCCCAAAGTAAGTAAATGGCATAGCCAAGAATTGAAGACTGGTCTATTGATTCCAGCTGTCTGGCCACCATACTGTCTCATTCCCTTTTCTAACACAGTAGCTTGACACATACTAGGTGTTCAATACTTGTTAGAAAAATTAAATATGTGGCAGTAAGAATAAGTATTTATAACAGATGGAACGTTAAGTTGAAAAATCAGAATGTAAAAATGTATCTACATGTTGACTACAACCCGATTGCAATGATAGGCGCATATTTAGCAAAGACTGGATGGGAACCTGGCAACAGCAAAAGTCAATTTGTTAGAGAAAGAGAATTATGGCAATTTTAAAATGTATTTGTCCCTTGCACAGTATTTTTTAGTTGCGTACCAAGACTTTGTTCATGAGAGACTGGCTCAGCACTGTTCCACCATCAGAGCTCCTAAGAACATCAAAATATTGACTGATTAGAGAAACTCAGAAGCCAGAGGTCCTAACTGGCCAGGTATCAGAATGTTTCTGTTAGAAACTCTATACACATCAGCAGGCCAGGCAAATGGATATGCAGAAAGGAATAAAAATGTCAACTGTCTTTTATATTGAATTATCATATATAAAGAGGATTTGCACAAAAAATTCTATATGAAAAAGAAAAACCAGACTCTTTCAGTACCATTTCATAGAAATAAATCCCAGAGATGAATATCTAAGTGAACTCCCCACCTGTTGAAAAGAATGTGTTGAAAGAGCATAAGAGAAAGGAGAAAGAGAAGAGGAAAAAAAGGAAAGAAAAAAAGGGAAAAAAATTTAGATTTGACAACAAAAAAAAAGAGACAAATTAAAACTGAAATAAATCCATCCATTGGTTTTTCTTAAGAATCATTCCCGGGAGGAGCCAAGATGGCCAAATAGGAACAGCTCCGGTCTACAGCTCCCAGCGTGAGCGACGCAGAAGACGGGTGATTTCTGCATTTCCATCTGAGGTACCGGGTTCATCTCCCTAGGGAGTGCCAGACAGTGGGCGCAAGTCAGTGGGTGCACGCACCGTGCGTGAGCCAAAGCAGGGCGAGGCACTGCCTCACTTGGGAAGTGCAAGGGGTCAGGGAGTTCCCTTTCCGAGTCAAAGAAAGAGGTGACGGACGCACCTGGAAAATCGGGTCACTCCCACCCGAATATTGCGCTTTTTGGACCAGCTTAAAAAACGGCGCACCACGAGATTATATCCTGCACCTGGCTCGGAGGGTCCTACGCCCACGGAGTCTCGCTGATTGCTAGCACAGCAGTCTGAGATCAAACTGCAAGGCGGCAGCGAGGCTGGGGGAGGGGCGCCCGCCATTGCCCAGGCTTGCTTAGGTAAACAAAGCAGCCAGGAAGCTCAAACTGGGTGGAGCCCACCACAGCTCAAGGAGGCCTGCCTGCCTCTATAGGCTCCACCTCTGGGGGCAAGGCACAGACAAACAAAAAGACAGCAGTAACCTCTGCAGACTTACATGTCCCTGTCTGACAGCTTTGAAGAGAGCAGTGGTTCTCCCAGCACGCAGCTGGAGATCTGAGAACAGGCAGACTGCCTCCTCAAGTGGGTCCCTGACCCCTGACCCCTGACCCCCGAGCAGCCTATCTGGGAGGCACCCCCCAGCAGGAGCACACTGACACCTCACACGGCAGGGTATTCCAACAGACCTGCAGCTGAGGGTCCTGTCTGTTAGAAGGAAAACTAACAAACAGAAAGGACATCCACACCAAAAACCCATCTGTACATCACCATCAGCAAAGACCAAAAGTAGATAAAACCACAAAGATGGGGAAAAAACAAAACAGAAAAACTGGAAACTCTAAAACGCAGAGCGCCTCTCCTCCTCCAAAGGAACGCAGTTCCTCACCAGCAACGGAACAAAGCTGGATGGAGAATGACTTTGACGAGCTGAGAGAAGAAGGCTTCAGACGATCAAATTACTCTGAGCTACGGGAGGACATTCAAACCAAAGGCAAAGAAGTTGAAAACTTTGAAAAAAATTTAGAAGAATGTATAACTAGAATAAACAATACAGAGAAGTGCTTAAAGGAGCTGATGGAGCTGAAAACCAAGGCTCGAGAACTACGTGAAGAATGCAGAAGCCTCAGGAGACGATGCGATCAACTGGAAGAAAGGGTATCAGCAATGGAAGATGAAATGAATGAAATGAAGCGAGAAGGGAAGTTTAGAGAAAAAAGAATAAAAAGAAATGAGCAAAGCCTCCAAGAAATATGGGACTATGTGAAAAGACCAAATCTACGTCTGATTGGTGTACCTGAAAGTGATGGGGAGAATGGAACCAAGTTGGAAAACACTCTGCAGGATATTATCCAGGAGAACTTCCCCAATCTAGCAAGGCAGGCCAACGTTCAGATACAGGAAATACAGAGAAAGCCACAAAGATACTCCTCGAGAAGAGCAACTCCAAGACACATAATTGTCAGATTCACCAAAGTTGAAATGAAGGAACAAATGTTAAGGGCAGCCAGAGAGAAAGGTTGGGTTACCCTCAAAAGGAAGCCCATCAGACTAACAGCTTATCTCTTGGCAGAAACTCTACAAGCCAGAAGAGAGTGGGGGCCAATATTCAACATTCTTAAAGAAAAGAATTTTCAACCCAGAATTTCATATCCAGCCAAACGAAGCTTCATAAGTGAAGGAGAAATAAAATACTTTACAGACAAGCAAATGCTGAGAGATTTTGTCACCACCAGGCCTGCCCTAAAAGAGCTCCTGAAGGAAGCGCTAAACATGGAAAGGAACAACTGGTACCAGCCACTGCAAAATCATGCCAAAATGTAAAGACCATCGAGACTAGGAAGAAACTGCATCAACTAATGAGCAAAATCACCAGCTAACATCATAATGACAGGATCAAATTCACACATAACAATATTAACTTTAAATGTAAATGGACTAAATTCTCCAATTAAAAGACACAGACTGGCAAGTTGGATAAAGAGTCAAGACCCATCGTTGTGCTGTATTCAGGAAACCCATCTCACATGCAGAGACACATATAGGCTCAGAATAAAAGGATGGAGGAAGATCTACCAAGCAAATGGAAAACAAAAGAAGGCAGGGGTTGCAATCCTAGTCTCTGATAAAACAGACTTTAAACCAACAAAGATCAAAAGAGACAAAGAAGGCCATTACATAATGGTAAAGGGATCAATTCAACAAGAAGAGCTAACTCTCCTAAATATACATGCACCCAATACAGGAGCACCCAGATTCATAAAGCAAGTCCTGAGTGACCTACAAACAGACTTAGACTCCCACACATTAATAATGGGAGACTTTAACACCCCACTGTCAACATTAGACAGATCAACGAGACAGACAGTTAACAAGGATACCCAGGAATTGAACTCAGCTCTGCACCAAGCGGACCTAATAGACATCTACAGAACTCTCCACCCCAAATCAACAGAATATACATTTTTTTCAGCACCACACCACACCTATTCCAAAATTGACCACATAGTTGGAAGTAAAGCACTCCTCAGCAAATGTAAAAGAACAGAAATTATAACAAACTATCTCTCAGACCACAGTGCAATCAAACTAGAACTCAGGATTAAGAATCTCACTCAAAACCACTCAACTACATGGAAACTGAACAACCTGCTCCTGAATGACTACTGGATACATAACGAAATGAAGGCAGAAATAAAGATGTTCTTTGAAACCAATGAGAACAAAGACACAACATACCAGAATCTCTGGGACACATTCAAAGCAGTGTGTAGAGGGAAATTTATAGCACTAAATGCCCACAAGAGAAAGCAGGAAAGATCCAAAATTGACACCCTAACATCACAATTAAAAGAACTAGAAAAGCAAGAGCAAACACATTCAAAAGCTAGCAGAAGGCAAGAAATAACTAAAATCAGAGCAGAACTGAAGGAAATAGAGACACAAAAAACCCTTCAAAAAATTAATGAATCCAGGAGCTGGTTTTTTGAAAGGATCAACAAAATTGATAGACCCCTAGCAAGACTAATAAAGAAAAAAAGAGAGAAGAATCAAATACACACAATAAAAAATGATAAAGGGGATAACACCACCAATCCCACAGAAATACAAACTACCATCAGAGAATACTACAAACACCTCTACACAAATAAACTAGAAAATCTAGAAGAAATGGATACATTCCTCGACACATACACTCTCCCAAGACTAAACCAGGAAGAAGTTGAATCTCTGAATAGACCAATAACAGGAGCTGAAATTGTGGCAATAATCAGTAGTTTACCAACCAAAAAGAGTCCAGGACCAGATTGATTCACAGCCGAATTCTACCACAGATACAAGGAGGAACTGGTACCATTCCTTCTGAAACTATTCCAATCAATAGAAAAAGAGGGAATCCTCCCTAACTCATTTTATGAGGCCAGCATCATTCTGATACCAAAGCCAGGCAGAGACACAACCAAAAAAGAGAATTTTAGACCAATATCCTTGATGAACATTGATGCAAAAATCCTCAATAAAATACTGGCAAAACGAATACAGCAGCACATCAAAAAGCTTATCCACCACAATCAAGTGGGCTTCATCCCTGGGATGCAAGGCGGGTTCAATATACGCAAATCAATAAATGTAATCCAGCATATAAACAGAGCCAAAGACAAAAACCACATGATTATCTCAATAGATGCAGAAAAAGCCTTTGACAAAATTCAACAACCCTTCATGCTAAAAACTCTCAATAAATTAGGTATTGATGGGACGTATCTCAAAATAATAAGAGCTATCTATGACAAACCCACAGCCAATATCATACTGAATGGGCAAAAACTGGAAGCATTCCCTTTGAAAACTGGCACAAGACAGGGATGCCCTCTCTCACCACTCCTATTCAACATAGTGTTGGAAGTTCTGGCCAGGGCAATTAGGCAGGAGAAGGAAATAAAGGGTATTCAATTAGGAAAAGAGGAAGTCAAATTGTCCCTGTTTGCAGACCACATGATTGTACATCTAGAAAACCCCATTGTCTCAGTCCAAAATCTCCTTAAGCTGATAAGCAACTTCAGCAAAGTCTCAGGATACAAAATCAATGTACACAAATCACAAGCATTCTTATACACCAACAACAGACAAACAGAGAGCCAAATCATGAGTGAACTCCCATTCACAATTGCTTCAAAGAGAACAAAATACCTAGGAATCCAACTTACAAGGGATGTGAAGGACCTCTTCAAGGAGAACTACAAACCACTGCTCAAGGAAATAAAAGAGGATACAAACAAATGGAAGAACATTCCATGCTCATGGGTAGGAAGAAGCAATATCATGAAAATGGCCATACTGCCCAAGGTAATTTATAGATTCAATGCCATCCCCATCAAGCTACCAATGACTTTCTTCACAGAATTGGAAAAAACTACTTTAAAGTTCATATGGAACCAAAAAAGAGCCTGCATTGCCAAGGCAATCCTAAGCCAAAAGAACAAAGCTGGAGGCATCACACTACCTGACTTCAAACTATACTACAAGGCCACAGTAACCAAAACAGCATGGTACTGGTACCAAAACAGAGATATAGATCAATGGAACAGAACAGAGCCCTCAGAAATAAGGCCGCATATCTACAACTATCTGATCTTTGACAAACCTGAGAAAAAACAAGCAATGGGGAAAGGATTCCCTGTTTAATAAATGGTGCTGGGAAAACTGGCTAGCCATATGCAGAAAGCTGAAACTGGATCCCTTCCTTACACCTTATACAAAAATCAATTCAAGATGGATTAAAGACTTAAACGTTAGACCTAAAACCATAAAAACCCTAGAAGAAAATCTAGGCATTACCATTCAGGACATAGGCGTGGGCAAGGACTTCATGTCTAAAACACCAAAAGCAATGGCAACAAAAGCCAAAATTGACAAATGGGATCTAATTAAACTAAAGAGCTTCTGCACAGCAAAAGAAACTACCATCAGAGTGAAATTTTCACAACCTACTCATCTGACAAAGGGCTAATATCCAGAATCTACAATGAACTCAAACAAATTTACAAGAAAAAAACAAACAACCCCATCAAAAAGTGGGCAAAGGACATGGACAGACACTTCTCAAAAGAAGACATTTATGCAGCCAAAAAACACATGAAAAAATGCTCATCATCACTGGCCATCAGAGAAATGCAAATCAAAACCACAATGAGATACCATCTCACACCAGTTAGAATGGCAATCATTAAAAAGTCAGGAAACAACAGGTGCTGGAGAGGATGTGGAGAAATAGGAACAGTTTTACACTGTTGATGGGACTGTAAACTAGTTCAACAATTGTGGAAGTCAGTGTGGCGATTCCTCAGGGACCTAGACCTAGAAATACCATTTGACCCAGCCATCCCATTACTGGGTATATACCCAAAGGACTATAAATCATGCTGCTATAAAGACACATGCACACGTATGTTTATTGCGGCATTATTCACAATAGCAAAGACTTGGAACCAACCCAAATGTCCAACAATGATAGACTGGATTAAGAAAATGTGGCACATATACACCATGGAATACTACGCAGCCATAAAAAATGATGAGTTCATGTCCTTTGTAGGGACATGGATGAAATTGGAAATCATCATTCTCAGTAAACCATCGCAAGAACAAAAAACCGAACACCGCATATTCTCACTCATAGGTGGGAATTGAACAATGAGATCACATGGACACAGGAAGGGGAATATCACACTCTGGGGACTGTGGTGGGGTGGGGGGAGTGGGGAGGGATAGCACTGGGAGATATACCTAACGCTAGATGACGAGTTAGTGGGTGCAGTGCACCAGCATGGCACATGTATACATATGTAACTAACCTGCACAATGTGCACATGTACCCTAAAACTTAAAGTATAATTTAAAAAAAAAACAAAACAAAAAAGAAATAAATTTGCCTTGCTGAGGAAAAAAAAAAAAAAAGAATCATTCCCTGAAATTTTGCATTTCAGAGGTTGCTGTTGCTTAAGTTCACCCTAGGAGCAGGAAAAATGAGGGTGCATTTAACAGAAACAGGAAATTAAGGGGAGGAGATTTTTGGCGAAGGAATACAAGCCAGGAAAGGAGACTCAATAAATGCTTACGGATAGACCATTAAATGAAAGAGTCTTATTTGTTGAGTTTCAGTTTCCAACAGGACATTTTTCATGGCCTGCCAAAGTTAGGCACACCTCCTCTCAAGGGGCAAGACTGCATTTCAGTTACTTCCCTAATTCAATGAGATAGAAATTTCAAGTCTGCAAGAAACAGAGACAGGCTATGCAATTTCTTTAGCTTTTTTATTCCCAATCAAATGCAGGGCCAGACAATACCAGGATTTACCTGTGCTGATCTTGCCGTCTGCCTAAGAGTGGCTGATGAGGGTGATTCCTCAATTGTCCAGGTAAACCTGGACTCTCTACTAGTTCAAAACATGTTGGGTTCAGATGAGGAGTTTCCTTGCAACAGAGCTGAGCCAGTCTGAGCAAATTCATGCTACTACCTTATATGAAGGGAGTGTCTGACCACTCCAATTGTTTCCCTCAGAGTAGAAAGGTGAGTGCATTGTGGCACCCAGTGATTGCTTGGGACCCCAAGGTTTAAAATTCTTTATATGTTAAATGAAAAAATATAAACTAAGCATGCATGATTTCTAAACAAAGAAAATTCTTAAGCAGGAAATTTGGAATTGTATAATCCTTGTAGCAAAGGTTCAACTTTGTGAAAGGTATCTCTTATCTCTGGGGAAGGGCACACAGAGCTCTGCATTATTGTTTAGAAACAATAGATGATATTCACATACTATAATCCCATTTGCTTCCATGAGCAGGAAAAACTTGTTTTATGGGAGTATCAGGGTCTCAGCTCATTAGTGCGTTTTTCTCAAAGTAAACGGAAAGACTGAGGAGGCCAGAGCTTGAGAGGTTAGATTGGGTGGGGGTAGATTAAGGATACGTTGAGGATACCCTGTCATTGAAGCCCTGTTGAAAGATGACCATATATGCCCCTCTCCAAGTCTAACCTTTTCTTACAGAGGCTGACTCCCTCCTCCCATTTGCCAGCACAACCACCTAATCTTTTCTCTACTTTTATAAGTCAACAAGAAAAATAACATTCCCTAAATAAGAGATTTCATTTTTCATCAAAACAGAACCTTCTTTTATGTAGCTACACATAAGCTTCCTTACTGAAGCACCAAATTCAAAAGCAGCTGTAAGTAAAAAGAATTTGCTCTTATCATAAATAAAAGATTGTATATGTGAACTTATTTGCAGTAAAGCCTTACAATAAAAATATAATTTATAACCTAGTTTCTCCTGTGTATTTTATGTAATATCCTAGTAAAATATTTCCATTTTACAACATGTACCTATTAAAACCATTCCTTATAAAACTGTCGGCATAAAATAAAATACAAAAATTTGGAAGAAAAAGCAGAGGAAAAGAAAATATATCAAGAAGAGGTGATGAAAGGCCACTGAAATATCCTTGTGGAAATCCTCCCAGTGAGATATAAATAACAGTAATAAAGAGGCAGTGGATGATGCTGATAATTAACAAGGATATTTTAAGGTGAGAAATACTTAAATCCTTCTTAGAATGTCATTTTCCTCTATGCTAAAAAGGAATTCTATCGCAATAAAAATTGGAGACAGGACCCTACTACTGAGGTGGAATGACTTTACAAAGTCAGTCAATTAAAATGTCCTGGAAATGGCAAATATTGTCTGTGAAAATGCTGCCTGACATTTGATTGGCATTTGCTCTCTGGTGTACAGATGCTCCTCCCACCTGTAGGTGGAGTTGTAGCCTGTTAGCCAAGGACCTCTTAAAACCCCTAATTAGATCTGTCATTCTTTATTATGGTCGTAACTATTTTTAAGTGATTTCAAATTTACAGAAAAAAAAAAAAGAATACAAGAAGAACCAAAGGAACTTCAGATACCCTTCTTTCAGATTCGACAACTGTTAATGTTTTACCACATTCCCTCTTTCTCTCTCTCATGTAAGTGTGTGTATGTGTGTGTAAGATAGATAGAATAGATATAGTTATAGATGTATAGGTAGTTTGATCATTTGGGAAGAAGTTGCAAATTTATATAACCCTAAAACTTCAGTGTATATTTTGGGTACTCTTTTTCACAATTAGAATAAAATTATCAAAATCAATATGTATCTAATCTATAGATCTTATCCAAAGGTTGCCAATTGTCCCAATAACAACTTTCATATTAAAAAAAAAAAAAAAAACTAAAGAAAAAAGAAAAAGGAAATTCTTGTCCCAGATCCAATCCAGGATCACACACTGCATTCCATTGTCATGCCTCTTTGACTTCTCATCTGAAACATTACCTGCGTCTCTTTGTTTAGTCTAACCTTTACACTTATTAAAGAGCACAAGTCGGTTATTTTATAGAATGACTTGGTTTTGTCTGATGTTTCTTCAGAATTGCACTCAGATTACACATTCTTGGCAGGAATACACAGAATCAATCTTTCTCAGTGTATTGTATCAGGAAGCACATACTAATTTGTCCTAAAAATCTATTGGTTAAGGTGAGGTGATATTCATCATAAAATTGCTCTTTCCCCTTTTTAATAAGTGGACATATTTTGAGATTAAGCAAATATCCTGTTTCTCGTCAAATTTTTGCCCAAGAGTTTCAACATCTGTTGATGACTCTTACCTACATCAAGTTACTGTGGTGGTAGCTGAATGAGAAGCAACACCTTGCTACATGGAAGGGGTGTACCAGTATCTCTGGGGAATGGGATAGTGTAATTCTGTACTTGAAAAATAAAGCAGTATCTATTTTTACTACAATCTACAGAAAGTAAAGGTCAACAAAATTGTCCTAGTTAATGGGAGTAGCTAGAACATAAATCTATTTCCTGTGCATCAGTAATTCTCAATGGAAGAGTGAGGTTTGTATTGCTATCAACAAGTTCAGAGGTTTAGACTGAGAAACAGTCTACCAGAGACATTTCTTTCAAGAAAAATGAACCTCCAGTTTAGAAAATGAAATGGCTGTTTTTATCCTAGGTAATTGTTCTGTTTTTATGGAAAGACACTTCGAATTATGTAACAACCAAGTATTTTTTTTCTTTTGAGAACACATGCTAGGAAATTTAGAGCCTCCACTGTGTCCAATTCACTGTGGTAGGTCTTCAGAATCTGTGTTCTTGGTCTCATTCCTGGACCATGCTATGTTTCCAGCTAGTTTTTCTTTCTTCTTTTACTCTGACTTACTTATGTATCTTATTTCTGTAGCTAGACTGAAACCTTGTGGAGTAAGGTGGGCATATGAATGAATTAACAAAATGTGCTTTCTTTGTTTCATAATTTGCTCTATCTCAAATCTTCAGATATCTAATTTCTCATCAACTAGAGCTGTCTTATGTTGTCCCACTTGATACGACATTTTGGAGGATGAGAGTGGTAAAAGAACTCACAGGAAGCTTTAAGTCAGTGTTATTGGTAGATTCAGCAACTTCCTGGTTTCTAGGACTCTAAAATGATGATTGAGTTTGGTTATTGTATGTCACATGGAATGGGCTTTCCCAGTACAGGTAAAAGAACACTGGGCCAGGGGTCAGAAGGCTCATGAATGGGACAGTTCTACCTCTGCCATTAACCAGGTATGTGACCTTGAATAAGTTGGTTCAGCTCGCTGGGCTGCAAAATCTTTGTCAGAAAGTGGACATAAAAGCACCTAAGCTGTCCATTTCCCTAAACTGTTGGAAAGTTTAATATCACAGTGCTTCAAGAACTGCAAGATCCAAGGATTCTTTATCTTGCCTTCTGGTAAAAGAATCAAGGAGACATTTAACAAGAGAACAAATGTACAAATAATTTAATTTCAGATAATGGTAATTTCTACAAAAACTGGATAGAATAAAATATTCAAAAATGATTGAGGGGAGTGCCTTATTTTAGATAGGCTGGCCAGTGGAGGCCTCTGTAAGGAGTAGATATTTCATCAGAGACCTGAATAATGGGAAAGAGAAAGCTATGCAATGAGATGAGAGCCTGTGAAGCTGCGACACAAGCCCTGGGGCACGAACCAACTCAAGTAGGAGCCAGAGGTTGTGTGGCTGTCTGCACCTGTGCAGGGTAGAGGTGAGTAGGGAGAGGGCAGGTGTAGCTTTCCGAAGCCAATCCCTCTGTAGCCTGAGTATAGAGAGCACAGACTCTGAACATCTACAAACCTCAGTGCACTTCCTGGTTCTGCTTCTTGCCCACCTTGGTGCAGGTACTTAACCTCTCTGGGTTGCAGTTTTCTAATACATAAAACAGGAGTAATAGTAATGGCAGCTACTTCAAAAAATGGTTGTGAGAATTAAGTGGAATATTGCATAGCACTGTGCCTGGCACAGGTAAGCTCTCAAGAAGCATTAGCTATTATTTTCTGTTCTACTCTGATTTCTCCATCAGTTGAACATCCGTGGCCCTCACAGAATAAACTGCACAACTCAGGGTTCAGGAGTATGCTCTAAAACTTTTCTATGAGGATAAGCAGGAAACTCCCCAAAGGTAGGGACCATGTCTACTTTGGTCCCATGGCACCTGGCACAAAGATGCACATAGTAAGTGTCCAATAAGATACCTAACCTGAGTAATTATTTGTGAAAGGTGGTTTCTGATAGTTGTAACAAGCCAGCCACAAAATGCAGGCAGTAAATCATACTCCCTATGCCTGGCTGTCTATAAAATTCACAATGAGCACAATTTGTTTTTAAACTGAAGCTATGTGAAATGTTTTTAGATCACACTAACATATTCAGATGCATGCTCACCTTAAGTAATGTGTTGTCTCAGGAGTGAGTCCCTGGATCTGCCATAGTAGCTGATTTTTATCAACAATTAGGAAAAGAGGCATTTGTTTGATTATGCGCCCAATTTCTGAACAAGCGGCTCCTCAGCCAACCATTGCAAATACCTCCCCACCACCACCAGCGTTTCCAAGTTCAGACTTCTCATTCTGATCATGTTAGGAATGTAATCAAGGCCCTCTGTGGAGATAAGTTAATTATCTCCTCAGGCAATGAACAAACACACGGGTTTGGTTTCTGACCATGTTGCCTGAAGAGAGGACACCACAGAGGAGCTTAGAGCTTGTCAGCTACCACCCCAAGGCCCTTCGTGGCATCTGGGAGCCATGGCCCAAAGTGATTCTGGCCCCTCTGTCCCAGGTTCTGCACTGCACCTGCTTTTGGTGATACAGAACTTGGCTGGCCCTGTCCTCGTTCTCCCCGAGCCAGCCCAGCCATGCCCTATGTTACTGGGGTTGGGCTCCTGGAGCTCACCTGGCACCTCCTGCAGCCCAGGACATCTCCCAGCACAGGATGCCCCTCTGCAAAGCTGATCTGGCTCCGCTGAGCCTCCCAAGAGAGATAAGGAAAGAAATCAGCTTGTCTGTCCTCCATCACTGGGCTGCCAGGGACAGTGGGACCCAAAGACTCTAACAGAAATCACCTGCCTATCTCCATGTTTTAAACTTCTGCTTTAATCCAGCTCAGAGTGGGATTAGCTGCCTCAGAGACTGCTAATTGCCAGATGGCCGCTGATAGCCAACTGCAGAAGCGTGTGTGTCAGAGCCTGTCATGGGGCCTTAAGAAGTCAGATCTGAAAGGGATGTTAGACAGCCCAGCAAACCCTTCATTTTCTCATTATGACAATGGGTAAACTGAGGCCCAGAGGGGCAAGGTGGCTTGCTCTTGGATACACAGCGAGTTTACAGCATGTGCCTGTGGGTTGCATTTGCATTAGGAAGAGCAAGAAAAGAGCATTGAAAGACCTCAATATACCCCTAGCTGATTATGCCCTGCTGCCCCTATGGAGAGGCAGAAGCAAGAGGAAGGAGAGCTAATTTATTGAGTATCTCTTATATTCCAGACTTGACGGCAGCTGCTTTCATGGGTGATACCCGGGTTCTAGCCCTCAATCTGACAGGGCATGCGATCTTGGGTAAATCACTTCCCCTCTGGGCAGGGGGCTGGGGGGTTCTTAATACCTTATATGCAGATTGAGAAAAGTAAACTGAATCATCTTCAAAACAGTGGCTCTCATTCTTTAATGTGCACCGTAATCTTTTGGAGGACTTGTTAAAATACAGATTGCTGGGGCCCAACCTGTTTCTGATTCAGTAGGTGTAGATTAGGACCTGAGAATTTACATTTCAAATAAGCTTCCAAGAGATGCTGATGCTATCCAGCCATGGGCCCCACTTAAAGCTGTATTGCTGTAAGATGTAGCCCCCAACTCTAAAGTTAAACAGCATGAGTGGGTCCGTGAACAAGAAACACACACAAACATACACAAACAAATACCTTTTTTAAAAG
Organism: Homo sapiens; assembly: GCF_000001405.40. Classification (NCBI taxonomy): domain Eukaryota; kingdom Metazoa; phylum Chordata; class Mammalia; order Primates; family Hominidae; genus Homo; species Homo sapiens. The sequence goes on from NC_000002.12 coordinate 22,996,615, forward strand.
AGTAATCAAAAGAACCCAAACTAGTGAATTAATTCCAATGGATCCAGGCTTTTATGTTTTCTTAAATTCTTCAAAAAAACGCCAACATTAACTTATGGCAACCCAAATATGAACTCAATTTTTTGTCCTGTCCCTCAAGTTTTTTCCTTGGAGAAGAATCAAGTACCATCTTACACTCAAGGAGCCTACAACCCTGAATGAGAGGAGTTCACCCACACAGACCCACTCAGAATGAGACCCTAATGGCATCCCAAGAAAGCATCTGAAGTGCCTTTAGCACCTGGTACATCCAGACATGTGCTATATCCCCCATGAGGACCATAACTAGTGAGTGTACCACTGAGATAAAGGCAGGCCAGAAGCATTTACCGTCATTCCTGCAGTGAGTCCAGAGGTACACACACTGAAATCCCCACCTGGAACATGGCCATCCTGCCAGGACATCTGCAGATTGTTTCCAGGAAACTTCTCAAACATGCATCAACCCAAATAAAGATGGGAGAAAATACATAAATACTGAAAAATCCTGGGAAAATACCTGGAGTTCTTCCAGGAGAGTTTGACTCTTAATAAACTGTACTTGTCTTGCTCCGATTTGAGTGAAATTTTACATACTAGAAATTTCATCCCCAAGTTCATATGTTGATTGGAGATGGAGCCTTTAGGAGATAATTAGGATTAGACAAGGTCATCAGGGTAGGGCCCCCATGATGGGACTGGTGGCTTTATAAGAAGAGGAAGAGAGAACTGAGCTGACATAGGCTCTTACTCTGTGGCCTGGTGATGTCTTTGCTACGTTACAACACAGTAAGAAGTCCCTCAGCAGATGTAGCCCCTTGACCTTGGACTTCCCAGCCTCCAAAACTGTAAACAATATATTTCTTTTTAAAATAAATTAACCAGTCTGTGGTATTCTGTTATAGCAACAGAAAATGGACTAAGACAGTACTTGTGAGACAAATATCCAAGACCAAAACTACCTTGGAAGGGTCTTATGGATCTTGCAAAGAAAAAATGGGCAGTAATGAAGCTAGAGAGATTTGACAGGGCTCTGCCTCTCTGTTAGGATGTGTGGTGACTCAAGCTTAGGAATGGTTGACATTGGTGTCATTTTTAGCCTCTGGCCCTATCAGCAGGTCTGCTATCATTGTAGACAGAGTAAGTCATGTGGCCAAGGATACCACATGTGGGGAGATGAGATAAAAGATAAAAAGACACCTTTCCCAAATCCCTATGAGGCACCCAAGGTGCTTAATCTAGGGCTAGAGCCAAGGTCTCTTGGCTAGAATGTGAACTAATGTTTGTCTGTCTCTCCAGCTCTCTCCTTCCTACCTTTCTAGGTAAGCACTGAAATAATTTACACTAAAAAGTAGTTCTATGTAATTGTTATAAATGTAGTCACAAAACAGAATACAAATGTCATAGATAATCCGTCTGGTAGAATATACATAATGTAAAAAACTCAATTTAACAACATGAAACTTAGTAAAAAGTAATAATTTATCAACATGCACTGCAGAACAGAGATGGGGGATCAAGTGCAGGGAAACAGTGAGAAAGAAAATAACAGGCATCTGAGATGGCAGAGAGTTCATGGATTCTTGGCATTGATAATAAATGATATGTAAGATTTTACTGTAATATAACCATTAATAGAATTTAAAAGGGTTTATATTCCATAGAAATTTTCAGAAATAAAGCCAGAAAATATGGATCACAAAGAAAAATACAGCAAAAGAACCCCCCAAAAAAGGAGCCATAAATAAGATAAAACCAAAAAATAAGACAGAATTAAGACAAAGCATGCTTTCCCTAAAGACAAACCAAAGCCAAGAAAAACAAAATCAAAAGCATTACACAATGCTATGAATATATTTAATACCTCTGAAATGTATGCTTAAAAATTGTTAAGATGACAAAGAGGCAAGACATTTCACCCTGGAGTGATGGGAATGTTTTGCACTTACGTAGAGATGAGATTGCACAACATCGTGGATGTGCTAAATGCCACTAAATTGTTCACTTTAAAATGATCGATTTTATGTTCTGTGAATTTCATCTCAATAAATTATTTTTAAAGAAAACACACACACACACATACACACACATACACACCCAAAAACCACTGCTCTTTTGGTGATGGCACAATGTGGCTTTATAACCTTTCCCTCCTTTTCACCTCCATTCGCCTTCTTATCTTTCTCCTCCACTTTCTCATTCAGGCACACACAGGACTTTTCCTCTGAGTCCTTCCATCATTCTGGGTGGACACAAGATCCTGATCCAATACAGGGACCTTGGTTCCTTCACCTCAACTTCATCTTCATTGACCTTCTCTCTGCCCCAGCCACCCATGGCCATTGTCACTGATTGGACGTGTCATCACTAAAAGTGCCACACCTCCGAGAGTCACTAAGTCAAACTGCACGCCACAGCTCTTGACATTTCAACTGTGAAAGGAGACAGTGCAGATCCAGGAAAAGGCTTTTGTTTGTTTGGGGTTTTTAATAGGAGAGAATGAGATTTTGAAAAAAAAAAAAATCCAGTGGAAAGAATTACAATCAAAAGAAGAGGATGAACACACAGGAAAGAAAAGGGAAATCAATAGTGGCGACTTTTGAAGATGGCAGGAAGAGATGGGGTCAGAAGAAAGGGTGGAGACACTGGCCTTTTGAGTTCATTAAGCCTGCAGTTTATAACTACACATCAGACTTAGAGAATGAGACCAAAGCAGTACTCAGAAAAATTTGGAGACTCGATTTTATTGCTTCAACAAGGGATGAAATACATAAGCTAAGCATCTAGCTCAGGAAATCAGAAAAAGAGCACAGTATTATCAGGAATTTTTTTTTTAAAAAGAAAGATATTACAAATGAATTATTCTTAATAAAATCTCCCCCAGAAATAATTTTAAGAGTTGACTTTTTAACAATATATAGTTGATATAATTAAGAAAAAGTGATTAAATCACATTTAAATCATGTATATTTAAAGTAAATATGAAGCTTATATTTTAGAAATTAAATGAGTATTATTTCTACTCTACGAATAAATTTGATAATTGCCATGAAAGTTTCTAGAAAATCTATAAATTACCACAAATGACTCAAGAATTAACCCAAGTAGCTCATTAATCAGACAACCTGAAAGAGTTGCCACAGAATATACGCCTGTACATACATTTGCATGTGTGTATATATTATATTATGTATACACATATTAGGGTTCTCCAATGAAACACCAATTATATATATTTATAAACATATATATAAGCCTTATTTTATGTAATGACAAATCTTTCTATATATATGTATGTATATAGAATTTAAAAGGATTTATATTCCATAGAAATTTTGGAATGCGTAAAAATGTATATTCCATGTACATACAGATACATAGAAAGATTATGAGGGATTGGCTCATGTGATTATGTAGGCTGAGAAGTCCCATGATCTCTTGTTTCTAAGCTAGAGGCCCAGGAAATCTGGTGGTGTAGTTCCAGTCCAAGCTCAAAGGCCTGAGAACCAGGGAAGCCAATGGTATAAGTCACAGTATGAGTCAGAAGCCCGGATAACTGGGGGACTGATGATGTCCATCCCAGAGCAAATCCAAAGGCCCAAGAGCACCAATATCTGAGGGCAGGAGAAGACGGATGGTCCAGCTCAAGCAGCTCATCCTCTTCTGCCTTTTTTTTCTGTTCAATTCCTCAATGGATTACACGATGCCCACCCACATTGGTGAGGACAATCTGCTGTACTCAGTCTACCTATTCAAATGCTAGTCTCTTCTGGAAACACCTTCACAGATACCTCCAGAAATAAGATTTTACCAGCTATCTGAGCATCCTTAGCTCAGTCAAGTTGATACATAAAATCAACCATCCCAATATGTATTTTATATGTATATGTGTGTATCTATATCTATATATATATATAGATATATATATCTTTTTTTGAGACAGAGTCTCACTCCATCACCCAGGCTGCAGTGCAGTGGCACAATCACAGCTCACTGCAGCCTTGACCTCCCAAGCTCAAGCAATACTCCTACCTTAGCCTCCCAAGTAGTTGGAACCACAGGCAAGTGCCCCCACACCCGATTATGTTTTTTGTTTTTATTGTTGTTGTAGAGATGGGGTCTCCCTATGTTGCTCAGGCCAAATATATCTGTTTTTAAGCAAGCTATACCCAGGTAAAACTTTCATGTTCTCAGGGGAAAGAGAATCCCACTGCCACCCAGACTTGCAGTTCCTTATTTACAATTCTAAAATTTCAAACATTATTTTTTCATAAAACATTTAAAGGCAAAATCTGACTAGAACTCATTTAACAGCAAAATTTGACCTGAATTTATATGAAGCTATGTATATGGTCTTTATTCTATTATTGTTACATATTATACTTTGAAATATTAATGTGCTTTATTACGCACTCTTGTCACAGACCCCACTGGGCAAGATATGTGTTCTATAGTGTGTGTGTGTGTGTGTGTGTGTGTGTGTGTGTGTGTGTGTGTAGTATATGTTTAGTACATGCTATTACCTTCCTGAAAACCCAAATGTTCTGATTTTGGAAACATATCTCAACCCAACGGTTGCAGGACAGGCCTTGTCAGCCTGCATAAACTGTTACAGAGCATAGAAAAGGATGAAAAGTTTGTCAACTACTTTTAAGAAGCTAGCATGACCTTGATCTAAAATTTGGCAAAAGAGTTTATTCCAAAATGAAAACTGCAGTGTGATTTCATTTGACTGTAGAAGCAAAAAGCTTAAATAAGTGGTACTTTTCACTTTCCATCCTGGCAACAAAAAATATGATCACTGTATGGGCTTGTTTCTCCTTAAAATTTCAACAGTGCTAATGCCCAGTACCTCAGGACATGAGTGTATTTGGAGATTGAGTCTTTAAAGAAGTAATTCAGTCATAATGAGGTCATTAGGGTGAGTCCTAATGCAATATGACTGGTGTCCTTATAACAAAAGGAAATGTGGACCTAGGCACAGAGAAAAGGACATGTGACGACATAGCGAGAAGGCAGTTGTATTAGTCCGTTTTCACACTGCTATGAAGAACTGCCAGAGACGGGGTAATTTACAAAGGAAAGAGGTTTCATTGACTTACAGTTCAGCATGGCTGGGGAGGCCTCAGGAAACTTACAATCATGGCGGAAGGCAAAGGGGAAGCAAAGCACCAACTCCGCAAGGCAGCAGGGAGAAATGGCGAGCAAAAGAGGAAGAGCCCCTTATAAAACCATCAGATCTCATGAGAACTCACTCACTATCACGAGAACTGCCCCTATGATTCAATGACCTCCACCTGGTCTCTCCCTGTCACGAGAACTGCCCCTACGATTCAATGACCTCCACCTGGTCTCTCCCTTCACACCTGGGGATTGTGGGGATTACAATTCAAGATGAGCTCGGGGTAGGGACACAGCCTAACCATATTAGCAGTTATCTACAAACCAAAGAGAGAGGGCTCAGAAGAAGCCAATCCTGTCAAAATTTTGATCTCAGACTTCGAGCCTCCAGAGCCATAAGAAAATGCATTTCTGTTGTTTAAGCCACCTGGTCTGCCACTTTGTTACGGCAGCCCCTAGAAAACTAATACAATCACACTTTAACCTTCAAAATTAAAAAAAAAAAAAAGACTATTAGTACCCACCCCATTATCACAAAAACATCTCTTTTCCTTCTCTCTGGGCACTATCTTCATGAAAACTCCAAAAATCCCAAGGACACTCGCTGAGTACAAATAGTGCTGATTACTAGTTTTACAAGAAGAAAAAAGCTAGAAAATCTGATCAGTCCACCAGAGGGCCAAGTGTACTGCTGCTGTTATTCATGGTACACACACAGTGTCTCCACTGAAAGCATGTGACCCAGTATCAGGGGTCATCCTTGTCCTTGGATCAAACCTCATTGGCCCAGACAACAGCACCAGGTAGCCCAGTGTGCAAGCATGGAGTGCTTGAGGCCAGTGCTATACAAGTTATCAGGACACATTATTCAATATCTGAGCCCCCAGTGCTGCTGTTTGACTATTCACCCCTTTCTCCATACACCTGGGCATTTTCCTTAAAACACTTGCATTGTGCCAAAGTGACTGAGCCCAGGAGGTTCCAGCCTCAGGCACACACTCTGACCTAATAACTTGTCCCATTATCTATTTCCTGGCTCCCAGAAGAAAAAGTCCTTCCTTCACTCAGCCCAAAGCCTGCCTATCCTGTCTAGAATTCTTTGCATTATTTTTAGGGAGAAATTTGACCTTGCAGTAGCAAAGTAAAACCTTACCACATAGGATCATGCAAAGCAAAAACAGTATTTATTGCTCCGTAAGTAAGTAAGGATTGTTCTAGGAATGCAAAGAAAGTTCAATATTAGTGGAAAACTTAAAACCTCAACCTTATATCACTAAGTCAAAGGAGACAGTGTAATAAGTTTAAAAAAAAAAAGAAAAGGATGTTCTACCACAAGAAATAAGAAGGTGCAATTATTACCACTTAAGGATGAGACAACTCTAGATAAAAGAATCAATTGATAAATGATTAAAAATATAATATTTTTTAAATAATTAAAATGATTATTTAGAAATTAACGACTTCTTTCTATGCTAGTGTTAGCCAGTTAGAAAGTTGTAATGGGCAAAATGAATGCCATTTACATGTTCACAAAATATGTAATATACATAAGAATGAATTGCACATAAAAAGTAAGACACCTACACAAACAAATGCTTTTAAGTGGCTTCAGCTGTGCCTTTGCCCACAATTTAGAAACGAACCTAAGATGTTCTCTGCAATGAACACTGACCTGCACTCAGGTACATCTTTCACCCACGACTGGGCAGGTCACTACTCTCATCAGACTAACAGTTTTTAGTTTTTAGTGGCTGTTGCCCTAATATCCAGCCTGAGTGACCATTTTCTGAAAGTAACATGTAACCTATAATAAAAGAACGTCAAATTCACTGTTGCTCGGTGTTGAAAATAACACTATTGATGAGGGGAATAGAACAGCATCTTTCCTCCAGAGACCAAAATCTTCCTTTGGGTCAAACCAGACGGTCAGATAATCACGAGGCTGCATTGCATCATTTGTTTCTCCTTGGCGACTGCTTTAAGGGGCTTCACTTTGGTGCTGCAGTGGCCTATGCTGAGGAACATTATAAGGAATGACTTTATACTTGCAGCAGCGTGTACCATTAAATGTCATAGCACACACCGTTCACTGTATCACACTGTCGCCTTTTTTTTTTTTTTTTTGAGATGGAGTTTTGCTCTTGTTGCCCAGGCTGGAGTGCAGGGACACAGTCTCAGCTCACCGCAACCTCCACCTCCTGGGTTCAAGCGATTCTCCTGCCTCAGCCTCCCTAGTAGCTGGGATTACAGGCATGTGCCACCTCGCCCAGCTAATTTTGTATTTTTAGTAGAGACGGGGTTTCTCCATGTTGGTCAGGCAGGCTGGTCTCCAACTCCCGACCTCAGGTGATCCGCCCACCTCAGCCTCCCAAAGTGCTGGGATTACAGGCGTGAGCCCCCGCGCCTGGCCTGTCTCCTTTTCACTTGCCTTCATGAAGAACTTTTGTCTCTGGACTCAAAAGCAGAACTTCATTTGTTCTTCTGAGTAACTTTTGCTTTTGTTGGTTTGGGGGCGGTGCAATTCATGCAATGGAATCTCTTTCCTTCATCATTGGCTGCTACAAAACTTAGGACCAAATACGCCTCACATTTCTGCCAAATATAGTAGAATTTACAGCACAGAAGTTGAGTAAAGACCTTGTCTCTGGACCCATCTTACATTTCGTATCCTTATATTTCTTTCATTTCAATCTTTACTTACTTGTGAAGCATGCTACATCCATCATATTATGCACCGACTTCATGGTTTGTCTTTTCCCCTATCCCTTTAATTTTTGTATGTGGGGCCAGTTCCTCCTCTTTTCCCAGAAGACATTTCTCACTGAGCTTGTAACACTTTTTCAGAGACAAGCACCGTCTCTGCTTCTACACTTCTGCTTTGTCATCTGAACAGACACCACTTCCTTTTAATTACACTTATTTGAAAAATGCAACTCTTATGGCTTTCAATTATGGCCAATAATGCAGATACTGAGAGATATTTTGCCCTATGATTTATCAAGGGCAGTCATGCCTATGCTGAAGTTCAGTAAGGATGTGAAGACATTCCTTAGTCAATAAACCTTGGCTGGCTTTATCTGGATGCTAACGTAATGTCATATAATATAGGAGGGTGTTTGTATATGGTTTCTCTGAGTCCTTAATAGTGCAGTTTTGAGAGACTGGAAAGGCAAGGTAAGGAGACCTGGGTCCATGGTGGAAGTCCACCTCCCTTCTGTTGTGTTTAGAACAGACCTGAGACTTGGGGGCGCTTCCAGGACCCAGTGCCTTTGTGATTTTTTCTTGTCTGCTATTCTGGTCTGAGGTTTGGGACTTTCTTATCTTTCAGATGAAAGAGTGCCTTTGGCCCTTGGGAAAAAAAACACAAAGACCCCATAGAAACCCAGTGGGACAATTTACAAAGGCCCCAACTCTTGGGAACTTTGTGGTGTTTTTCTACTCTAGACATGAAGACAGGAATCACCCAGAACCATTTTTTTCTGGGCAAGGGCCCAGGGAACAGTTGGCTATGGGAAGTTGGGGAGACTGGGGATTCAAGTTCAGAGAGGAGGGGTGTCATTTCCTAAAGCTTAAAGTGATGAAGAAGCATCAGATTTGAATGATGAGAAGTTCTGTTTGGGATCTTTTTCATTTGAGGTGGAACCACCATGTAAAGATGCATTCACAGGCATTCAGACCTGGAATTCTGAAGGGACATGGCAGCCTATAGACACAGGCATTAACAACTATAAACCTCAAATCCAGCAGTATTTGTTGTTTTCCTCTAGCAAGTTACCTAGTTTTCATTTTCAAGAGCACACAGAGAATAAGCTTCAGATGACACACAGGAGGATTTCAGAGTAACAGCACTGAGCCGGTCATACAATGCACGTGACCAGGAACTCCTGAGTGTTACGTATCTTTTCCGTTATTGCACAACAAATTATCTTAAATTCAGTGGCTTTACCCAGCACACATTTATCATCTCAAAATGTCTGTGGGTCTGCTCAGCTGGGTTCTCTTCTCAGGGTCTCATAAGGTGCAATTGAGGTATCTGTCAGGCTGAGATCTCATCTGGAAGCTTAGCTGGGGAAGATTCTGCCTCCAAGCTTGTTCTGGTTGATGGCAGAATCATTTTCCCTAGTGTTTTTGGACTGAGGGCCCCAGATTCTTGTTGGCTAATGGTTTGAGTCTGCCCTCAGTAACTAGAGGCCCTCACCATTCACAGAGCCCTTTGTGGGCTTTTCCAACGTGGCCACTTATTCCATCAAGCCAGCAAGGAGAGTTTCTAGTTAAATCTGCTAGCAAGAGGAGGTCTCCTAAAATCCAATGTAATCCTGGGAGTGACAGCTCAACCCTCTGCCATATTCTGTTGGTTAGAGGCAAGTCACAGGTCCTGCCCACGCTCAAGGGAAGGGACTGTACAGGATGTGAACAGGAGCTGGGGATCATGGAGGGTCACCTCATTGTTTGCCACTTTGTCCATGGATGGGAGAGACATGGAAAAATAGTTGAAAAGCCATCTCCAAGGGACAAGCATGGCAATATGAGGTAAAAGTATATTCAACATATATTCTAGCATGGAAAGCCAGATAAGACATGTAAAAGATTAGGAGTTTTGGCAATGTGATGGGGAAAATAAGTTTTCCAAATGCACCCATTAATCACTTCACTAGTGTTGCTTCTTGGTAAATAATTTCATTGGTATAACTCTGTTGGGATAGTCCCTATCATCTATTTTAGACGTCTTAGGGTGAAATAGGGAGACTCAAATAAGCCAGCCTGACAATAATCCTCAACATGTATTATCTGGGGTATTCTTGAAAGATTTTATTGGCTTTGGATCTGAACATCGAGTGGGCACAGTGATTGGCCAAAGAATATTTTAGTTGATTGATGTCTCCACTTTCAAAAAGAATGGAGTTGGTGAAATTCTGGAAAGGGGAAAGATCTAAAATTACTTACAATTTAATAATCAAAGACCTATATGAAATATCAAATACATGCTAGGTGCTAAAAATCAGATCACAGATATCCAATTCATCAATAGCCTCCACAATAAGATGTCTATCCACTAAACACATAGAGCTTTGGCCTCAGTTGTTCCTCCTGTGGCCTAACTAACCTCCCATCCCAGCATTTCCCCTGCGAGAGCTGCTGGAGACTCTTCAGAGCTGCCCATGCAAGGGGGTTATGCATCTTCATCTCAGTCTTGTCTCCCCACAACACAACCATCTGCTCTGCAACACACACCTTGGGCGCCAGGGACAGGACACTGATTGGGATGTGAAATTGAGTCTGGGGACATTTTCTCTTGACATCTCAGAATTCATCACGCTTCCAAAACAATAAAGACAAACATGCCTATTTATCAGGAGCCCAACTAGCATGGCTGCAAATATTTGTTTCCTTAATTCTGAGACTTCCAATATGTTTGATAGTGACTGAAGCCAGTCTACTTGAGTGACAGCTTCTGCAAAGCCAGATCCCACAAGGTAGGTGATGGTGAGAAGGCCCTGTTGCCCCACCATAGACCAGCAGAGGACATGCTGATTTCTATCTGTCCATAGAAACAAACATGTAAGAAAGCAGGCAGATCCCCTGTCACAAACAAAGGGGACCGAAGCTGCAAGAAAAATCTGTCAAGCCAGCCAGGGTAGAAGAGGTGGAATGTGGAGGACAGATAGATAAACATTTCATTTCAGGCTTTGAAGATGGACCTTTTAGACGTCCTTGACCCTTTTTGGTTTGTTTGTTTGTTAGTTTGTTTTCTGAATGCAGGGGTGTTTGGGGAAACATGGTACCATTTTGCAAAAAGTAAGTATGAGATTTGTGTTAAAAGACAGCCCCAGGTCTAAACGCTAGCTTTGCCAATTATTTGCTGCCCGCCTTTCAAAAAAACCCACTCTTATCCTTTTAAATCTGTTTTCTCATCTGCTTAGAAGGGAAATTTTTAAAAAGTACTTAATCTCCCAGGGTTATTGCAATAGGAGCATGTTGGGATCAGCACAGTGCAGAAGTGTCCTACACTTTGCAGAACTGCAGGACTAAAGCCAGCCTTGGTCCGTCACACACACTTTAACTCTCCCTGTGCCTGGAAATTGAAGTCTGTGATGAGAAAGGGACTGGGCCAAATTCTCTCTACCAGGAAGACTCAGTATGGGTAATGCCTCCTGTCCATACCTGACAGGCAGGGAAGACAGAGCTGAAAAGCACAAATGCCCACAGCCTTGCCTGTGGTTGAGGAGCCTGATAGCTGTGGGTGGGGCTGAAGGGGAGAGGGTCAGGCCTAGAGCAGGTACAGGACTGGCTGGGGCAACTTCACCCTCATTCCCTGAAAGGACCCCCCAGACCCAGCCATTGACAGCTCCAATTTAACCTACAGCCACCCCTAGATGTGTGTGCCACCTCTTGTCCTCTGCTGCTGGGCAGCAGAATGGCCTACTATCTCAGGTGCTCAAACATGTTGCAGAGGAGAGAGATGGCAGTGGAGATGGCCATGGGGCTGGCCAAGGGTGCTCAGCCATTCCCATGCATATCGGGAGGTCTGTGCCTGTGTATTGGTACAGCCCCTCTCTCTGTGCATCCAGAAACTTCATGGACATATTTGTTTACTCCATTTGCCGATATGCAGTTTGCATAATATTGAATCTGGAAAGGACACTGCATCCACTGACAGGAGTTTTCCCAGCTGGAAAAAAGAAAAAAAAGAATGAAAGAATCCAGCTTTACATTTGGGGGTAAAAATAAAGACACCAACAGTATGTGCCAGGCTGTCTGACGGATGGTTCATGGCATGGGGAAGGCCACGTCTACGGTCAGGTCATGCTCCCACATCCAAAGTACTGTTGGATGGCTTTCTCGAAAACACTCTTGGCAGCTCCAGGGATGGCTCTTTTGGTAAAAAGGATGTGCTGGGACAAAACATGGGCCTTCAGCCAAGACGCATTTCTTCCTTTAAAATGGAAAACACGCACATGTCAGGATGCAAAGAGCCAAGCCTCTCCAAGAGTGGAGGTATCCCCCTCCTTAGCATCCCTGGAGGAGGAGAGGACAAGAATGAGCTGGGCTTTGACCTGAGATGCCCATCAGGGAGCAAACAATGCATAGCAGCCCCTCTGCCCCGGGGCAGGCTTTTCCATCAGGTGCCTTTTGCCAGCTTGCTTATATTCTCAGATAGCTTAAATACCTAGCTCAATCACAGGGTACAATGAGGCCCTTCCAAACTTGTAAAAGCAAAGGCACAAAAGCACAATGCCAAGGTCAGTGGAAGGAAGCCCACCAGGGTTATGCTCCACAGGCCCCAGACAGCCATTCTCTTGGATGCTCTCTTCCCACTTAGACCAACAGCGGCCCCTTCTCGTCACAGACCCCTCCTCCTCCCACTGCAGTCGCTGGTGAGCAGTGGGGACTTACGCCTTGTCAAAACATCACTCTATGCATGATCCCCTGGGCCCTTCTTATGCAGTTTGTAGTCCCTGGAGCAACATCAGCATCCCCTGACAGTTGGTTAGACATGCGGTCCCAGGCCTCGCCCCAGACCTGTTGACTCGGGAAGGAACTGCTGGTTCAAAGATGCCTGGGTGACTTGTGTGCTTACTAATGAGATAATAGTGCATGCTCATAATTGGACATGGATGCCTTCTTCAGGGTCCTGCACCTGAGGAGAATGGATAATCAGCAAGGCAAGAAAGAGGAAAGTACCCCCACCCCAGGTCACAGCCCTGAGCTTAGGTAAAATGTACTTTGGACTATAGGCCCCATGAACCCCGGATCCCAGTTATCCCAGCCATCCAATCTCTATAGTAAGGAAGCATCCGCTCACAATCCCGCCCCATCTTAAAACCTTCCCAGAAGAGGGCAGACTGTGGAAGAAAAATCCAGGATGATTTATGACCATGTTTGAAAGTTCAAATGAGGGGGAAAAAATCATATCTGGGATTCTTTATTGTGAATTTCTCAATCTTTAGCCAGAGTTTGGCTTTACCTCCTCCAAGGACAAAAGTTCAGGTCCTGTGCACTCAGGGTTAAGTTTGAAATTAAAGATAGCTGTGTCCATTGGTGGGGACATCCACTGCCCAGGCCACACTGCAGGAGGGCTGGCCCAGAATCAGAGACTCTAGCCGGTACCTTCGCTTGGTTCTTTCAATGCTGTTGCTCTTGTCTGTTCCCTGGAATCTGCAGAATGTATGAGCTCATTCCTGGGCAGATCACCAAGCTCTGCAGATGCCTCAGAGACAAGCGCTCATCAGAAGCAAAGTAGCCCTGCACACTAGCAAGGCTCACAAACCGGAAGCCTCCCTTAACATGTATTGTGATGATGACAGAAGGGCCCATCACGACCCATCAGTGGTCATTAAGCACAACTGTGTGCCCACAGTGTTATTCTGGGAGAAGCATTTCTCCACAGGCTCCCCACCAGGACCTCAGCCATAAATATTACAGCCATCTCACTTTGTATAGTGGGCGTGGCACCTGGAAACGCCTGTTCTGTGATTTTACCTGGTGCTCTTGTGCTTATAACCTTGCAAGAGCAATGGGAACAGAATTGTGTTTACTATAGACATGACATACTTTAGAGTTTGTTTGGCATCGTTCACATAGATTGTAGAATTGCAATTCTGGCCCATCACATGCATTTAACATTCATCATGCTTAGAAACTAAAGCCCAGGATGAGAATTGGACTTGAATAAATACCCAGAAATGGTATTGCTGGATCACATGGTGATTCTATTTTTAATGTTGAGGAACCTCTGTACTGTTTTCCATAATGGCCATACCAATTTGCATTCCCATCGACAGTGTACCAGGTTCCCTTTTCTACACATCCTTGCCAATGCTTATCTTCTTGTTTGTTTTTTTATAACAGCCATCTTCATAGGCATGAGGAGATATCCATTGTGGTTTTTATTTATATTTCCCTGATCACTGATGCATGTCTTTTTTGGAGAAATGGCTGTTGAGGTCCTTTGCCCATTTTTTATTGACTTAACTTATTTTGTTTGGTTGGTTTTTTGCTATTGAGTTGTATGAGTTCCTTATACATTTTGGATATTAACCCCTTATCAGATATATAGTTTGCAAATATTTTCTGCCACTCTGTAGTTTTTTTTCATTTTGCCAATTGTTTCCTTTGCTGTACAGAAGCTTCCTAGTTTGACACAACTCTGCTTATTTTGGCTTTTGTTGCCTGTGTTCATGCTGTTATATCCAAAAATGTATTTCCAAGACCACTGTCACAGAGCTTTTCTCCTGTGTTTTCTTCTAGAGGTTTTATGTTTTCAGGTGTTACATTTAAGTCTTGAGTCCATTTTGAGTTCATTTTTGTGTATGTTATAAGGATCCAATTTCACTCTTTTGCATGTGGAGATCCAGTTTTCCCAACACCATTTATTGAAGAAACTATTCTTTCACCAGTTTGTACTCTTGGTGCTCTTGTTGAAAATCAGTTAACCTTACATGCATAGATTTATTTCTTGGCTCTTTATTTTGTCCCATTGGTCTGTGTGTCTATATTTATACCAGCACTATACAGTTTTGATTACTTTAGCTTTGTAATGTAATTTGAAATCTGGAAATATGAGGCCTCAGCTTTGTTCTTGGTATTTATTCAGAGGAATTTAAATCAGCATTAGAATCTCAAAGACATAACCACGCTCCCATGTTCATTGCAGCATTATTCACAATAGTCAAGAAAGGGACACCATCTGAGTGTCCATTGACGGATAAATGAATACATAAAATGCAGTATATGTATACAATAAAATATTATTCAGCCTTAAAAAAGAAGAAAATCCTGCCATGTGTAATAACATGGAGGGACCTGTAGTACATTGTGTGAAGTGAAATAAGCCAGGCACAGAAAGACAAATAGTGCATGATCTCACTTATATATGGAATCTAAATTAGTCAAACATATAGCAGTAGTAGAAGGGTGGTTGCCAGGAGGTCAGGGGAGAGGAAATGGGAAATGGGGATAGGATGGTCAAAGGGTACAGTTTCTGGAGATCTACTATACCATATACAGCTTATAGCTCACGACACTGTATTGTATTCTTAAAACTTGCTAAGAGGGTAGATCTTATGTTAAGTGTTCTTACCACAAATAATAATAATAATAGCAAAGGGGGCATGGAAGCCTTGGGAGGTGATGGGTATGTCTGTGGCCTTGAGGAGGGAGATGGTTTTATGGATGGACACTTATTCCCAAACTCATCAAGTTGTATACATTAAATATACATATAGTTCCTTACATGTCAACCATGCCTCAATAAAGTAGTTTTGCTGTTGTTGTTGTTGTTGTTGTTGTTGTTTTTTGAGATGGAGTCTTGCTCTGTTGCCCAGGTTGGAGTGCAGTGGCACAATCTCGGCTCACTGCAAGCTCCATCTCCCAGGTTCATGTCATTCTCCTGCCTCAGCCTCCCAAGTAGCTGGGACTACAGGCACCCGCCACCACGCCCGGCTAGGTATTTTTAGTGGAAACGGGGTTTCACTGTGTTAGCCAGGATGGTCTCGATCTCCTGACCTCGTGATCTGCCCGCCTCAGCCTCCCAAAGTGCTGGGATTACAGATATGAGCCACCACACCTGGCCAATAAAGTAGTTTTAAAATAAAAAAGAAGGGGACTTGGACAGGTAAACTGTGCAAGTTTTGTTTTGTTCTTAAGGGCACAACAGTCATAAGGTTACAGCTGTTTTACATTTTCTTTCAGGCAAAAATTATTAGAGCAGATTTCACCGTATAAAGCTGTGTGGCCTTGGTTATCATTGTCCCATGTGTTCAGGTAGATCCAAAATGACTTTCTGAAGAGAATCTTGGCCTTACCCACAGGTACATCCTGGCTTATCTCCAAAAGGAGATAAAAGAGCTTTCTATTCAGGCAGGAGTTCTTGTAAGGTGACACAATTTTGACAAGAGTATGTTAATCTTACTCCCACCTTGGGTGACTGTTAAAACATGAGGTTCTACACCTCCCCACTTCCCTGCAACAGAGAATATTTGCACTCCTGCTAGCTGTCAGGGAACATAACCTTGAACTTGGTGCCACTCAAACCGTTCAATTCCCCTTGATTGAGAGGAATTGTGTTTAGGGAGTATTTCCCAACAGGGAATTGTATTCGTTAAGGTAATGCTAGCTGTTCTAACAGATAAATACTGAATTCCCAGTTGCTTAACATAATGGAAGTTAGTTTCTCATGTACATCACAGTCCAATTAAGGTTTTCCGGCTCCGTATCCTTCCCCCAGGCCTCCAGGAGCCCAGGCTTCTTCTTTCCTGCGACTCCACCCTCCTGTGGGTCCTGATATCCTTTTCCTTCCAGACAGCAGATAGGGAAAAAGGGGTTTTAGAGGGAACACATTTACTTTCCAAACACTTCTGCCCACATTCAGTCTCGAGGCCACACCCAGTTGCAATGAAGGCTGGGAAAAGCACTCATGGTAAGTGTTGAGGAGGGAAAGGAGACAGGCTTTGGTGAACTCACAGTAGTTCTGCACAAAAATGCATTGATCTAAATCATTTAAACTGACCCCAGACTAAGCCAGTTTATCTGAGTGCTGAGTATCTGGGAAGCATTGCATGCTTCACAATAGCTATAGAATAGCTAGAGATAAGCCCTCAGTCTAAACAGGGGCAGGAAAGGAAACTCTGGGTGCATGGAAGGGTAGGGAGGATTTTACATCAGTGTCCTGCTGAGGATAGCATCGAGACTGGATGATGTCTCTTTTCAAGAAGTTCAGATAGCCTTCTCTCAGGCCTCTGAATCTAAAACAGTAGTGTCCCCCACCCCGCTTCTAGCTCCTGCTTGTTTTTGTTTAATTACACTGTGATTCCTGTAACCACTGTGCTTCCCTCTTGGCCTAGGCTGTTGGGAAGCTTAGACTGCAATCAATACAGCCCATCTCTAGCAATTAAGCAAGACCCTAAGGGATGCACTTTTTGAACCCACTTCATACCTGATTCCATTCATCTTTCCTATTCTTACTTCCCCTCTGCCTCATGTTTTGGAGTCTTTTATGTCATCTTGCCATCATCCAACTATCTTTGTAAACTACATCTCATCCATTCAAGGAATAAAATGGAAAACAACAAAATAAATAAATAAATAACAAAAGACTGATACACAGAATATGGGACAGTTAAGATGCAGGAGCCACTAGAGAAAATTGGAGACACTTTCCATTTTCCTTCTCTTCTTGCCACAGTGTTGGCCTTATGGGTGTGGCTTCTTCATTGTGGTGACTCTTAGTGAGCAAGGCTCTTCCTTGGGCTCCAGGCATCTGCTGCACACACAGGGTTGGGGCAGTCTTCAAGAAGACACTTTCCCAGCTCGCAGAATACCCACAAACTGTAGGAGAAGCCTTCTCCAATTTCTCAAGGGGATGGGAATCTTTGGGTTGCTCCCTGATGTACGGGGGTGGTAGTGTCACTGGTATGTTTCCCACTGTGTTTCTCCCTGTGTCTGTGCATCATGGCCACACCTCTGCTACCCAGCAGCTCTTTTAAAAGCCCTACCTTCGAGGTCCTTCTGAGCTCCATGGGCAGTTTAGCCAAGGGGCAGCATAGCCCACTGGTGAAGAGCAAGACTTAAAGAAGCGTTGCTCAGCATGGTGGCTACTAAGCACTTGAAATGACACTAGTCTGAACTGACATGTGCTGTAAGTATGAAATACACACAATTTTGAAGAGTTAATAGGAACGAATATATCACATTAATACTTTTCAATATTGATTACATGTCAAAATGGTAACATTTTAGATTGGTTAAGGAAAATAAGTTATTACAGTTAATTTCCCTGTTTATTTTTAAAATGTTTTTAATGTGACTACTACAAAATTGTAAATTATGTACTGGGCTTGTCATCGGTGCCTTACATCTTATTTGTATTGTGCAGTGTTGTTCTAGAGTCAGACTAACTGGATCTGAATCTTACCTCAGCTATTTGATAGCTGTGTGACTTTGGCCATGTTATGCAATCTCTCTGGGTCTTAGTTTCTTCATTTCTGTTTTTTTAAAAATGGGGAGTATAGTGGTTGTAAGGATTAAATAATTAAATTTGTAAAACAATTGCAACAATGACTAGTGCACATTAAATGCTAGATAAGTGTCAAATAAAATACAAATTAGGAAGTGTCCTTCTTTCAGTCCCCCTTCCCTGGGGCATTCCAGGGCCTGAGATGCTCTCTCCTCCCTGTGTGAGTGCTGAGTGCATCCAGGAGAAAGTGCCTCTGTGGGCTGAGAAGACAGGAAACAGAACTGTGAAAATAAGAGTACACCCATCCCTGGATTGATTACCTGTAGATGCAGAAGTGATCACCCACGGCAATTCCAATCAGAAGCAGGAAATTAATTAACAAGGAGAAGAGGCAGGTCAGGAATGGATAACCAAGTGCCAATACGGTGGAAATTGTGAGTGTGGAAAGTTACCAGAGTTGACCAAGGAAGAAGTCACCTGTGGAAACTTGCCCCTGAATGCTATGGCCCCACACCCCTCACCCTGCCCTTGGCTGAGCTGACCATGGGCCTCATCTGAGTTCCTTCTAGTTCTGTCTCTAGGGCCTGAATTACCAGCCATTCGTCTAGATAAACTTTCCCTCAACTGCCCAAGTTTTACTCACCTGTACACTTATCATGTGGTCGGTGGGAAATAATTACTTTCTCACTGGAGGACACTTACTTATCTGAGGTCACATTTTTTTCAGTGTTTTACAAACAGGTGAAAATGTTGCTGCCCCATCATGCCATGGCCCATTTTCCATCATTATCACTTTTTGGCTTTAAGATGGGTGCTTTATTCTGATCAGACATCCAAAGTGAAAGATAAATAATCACCAGGAGTCACTGCTTCAGACATGATCACCTAACACCTGGGTAGGAATTAAAAAGACTAGAATTAGAGGGGAAGGGACCAGATACCAACAGGCACCAAAGATCATTTTGCATTCATCTTCCTTCTTAGGAGAAGGCCTTCACAGGTTTCCCCCACCGTCTTCAGTTCCACCTTGACCCTCTTCATCAGACATTCAGTGAACACGATGTGCTAGAGATGGACACACTCCAATCCATTTGAAGCAGGCTCTCTTCCCACTCTTACAGAACAAAGGCAGACAAGAGCTCACAGCCTGAGAAATTGGGATCTAAACTCTTATATCAAGATCCCCAGGCACCCACGTGTGATACCTTTTCCATCTTCCTGCCCAAGTTATCGTTTGGCAATGACAATCCTCAGGCAGAGTACAAAGGCATTCGTGTGTCTGGCCTTGTACTCCTTTTGCTCTCAGATGGGAATAATAATTCATGCTATGTCATAGTTTTATCACAAAGTGCTAATAAAACAACACGCATGAAAGTGCTTTGACATAGTGCTTTGACATCAATGAGGTTCAAAGGACAAAGAATAAACCCGCATGTGTCCCTTATGTTTTGAGACTCTGTGTAATTAGCATTTAAGAAAACCCTGCCTGACCTGCTTTTCCATTTCTCCCAGTGAGGCACTGCAATATTCTCTTCATCGTTGGTAATTTTAAATTGTCAACTGGGCCACAGTTCTCAAGGTCACCTTGGTGGCCTTCTTCTGGCACCTCTCATATGGAATTTTCTCAGCCCCCTCCTCTTGCAGTAACCCAGACACTCTCATCTTACCTCCCACATACACTTTGCTTCTTAGTGGTAGCACCTGAATCTGATTTACTCTAACATCTGCCTTCCCTCCTGACCAACAGTGCCTAGTACAGTGCTGTGAATAGAAAACACCAACAAATATTTCCCAGAGAAAAGAGCAATACAGTCTCCAAAGAAAAAATAAGCTCTTCTGCATCTTTGGCTATGGTTTAAAAAGTACAAGGTCAGCTCTTACACACATGCACACACACACACAGACACACTTCATTAGGAAAAACAGGGGCTGTGGGCTCCAGTTTACCTGGAATTGTATCTAATCTCTCACCACAAAGCTTCTGATGGGCACTTGGTCATTAAGGTGTGGCCTGATGTCTTGGAAAAGCCTGAGCTTCGTGTTAAAAGGGAGAAAGTGAGGATTCCATGCCTCTGCCTGCACTCAGCTCTAAGTCTTTGTTAGAGAACAAAGACTTTAGGGAACTGTCTGCCTGTATTGTGTGGGTTCTGTTTTCAAGGACAAAAAAATATTAAGGGGAAAAAGTCATTTTGAGAATTTTCTTTAGTAAAATTAAATCTTACCTAGAGCAACTTTTCTTTCTCAAGCAGAGAAGTTCAATCACCCACCCCCAGCCCTCTGAATAGCAACTAAGAAAGATAAAACCATTTTTCTGCTCTGAGATTATTAGCGATCAAGGGCACTAACGAGGGGGCATATGAGCAGCTGGCTTACAGATGTGTATTTAAGATGCTTGAATCTGCTGCTTAGGAGAAACTGGGAGGGGCTGTCTGGGAAGGAAATGGGCAGTGGGTGAAAATGTTCTGAGTACACATGACGACACCAACACCTCGCTCATGGAGAACACGTGAAAGAGCAAGAACGCACAGTGTCTGACCAGGTGTACCTGACAATCCATATACTTGCAACATCAATCATGGTGTAGCATCCTGGTGAGCTTGAAAGAGGCCCTACCCTGTCCCTACAGCCCAAAGGGGCTCAAGTTCAGGTCTGGTGGTTTTTCTGTTCCAGTAGCCCACCTTCCACCACCTCCTTTACCTTCCAATATGCCCCGCCCCACACGCCTGCACCCTGCCTGTCCCCTAAGGTTCCTCCCTCTCACCATGTGACTTGGCCAATTTATGTCGTAAGCAGCCACACTTTCCCTTCTGGGAGGCATGGGGCATTCAGCGCTCCTGTATCATTCCTTGGCCCCACGCGCAAGCTCTCAGCCTTCTTTCCACACAGCACAGCCCAACAACCTAGTACTTTTTGTCTTGCACCTGCTATACTGGGGGTTCTCACTCCATTCCTATCCTCTTCATCCTCTTTCAATCCCTTAACAACACAGGCCTCAATGACTTCAAGAAACCAACAAAGAGTGGCAAAGACTCCCCAAGTAAATTATAGAAGAATTCAGTAGAAGACACAAAGGTTCAGTTACATTCATAAGGAACCCATTTATTCATCAGCAAAAACTCACCAAAAGATCCATGAAAAGAATTCAGAGGTCCAAGGAACCTTGATGAGAAAAAAAGGCTCTCTTTATTTTCACAACCTTCTCACTGAACTCTAGCATTTCCTTCAATTATGAATGCAGGCAATAAACCACAGTTTCAGCAATATCTATGATTTGCCAAAGTAGAAATCAGATTTTTTAATATATTATGATTGTTAAGGATTTTTTCAAGCATATGACAGTTATTAGACCTCCAAATAGATCTTGCTTTGTAATGACTTAATAAAGAAGCACACATATGACTGTACCACATACTTGTTTTATTTATATTTTTGATAACTGTATTTCAATATAATTAACTTCCTTTGCAATTCTATGTATTTTATTATGTGCATTTAAAAATGTGATTCTGAGAATGAATCCACAGGCCTCACCAGATGCCAAAGGAGTCTGTGGAAAAAAGGAAAGCATTGGTTGAGAACTCATCCTTCCCCAACTCTCTATAACTCCCGTGCATGCCCCCACCCCGAAGATTCCTGTGACAGGGTCTTAAGCTGCACTGTAGGTCTCTGAGCACTTGGACTTGAGTTCTCCTAATGCCTCTAGAAGTGATAAATATCCATGCTCATGTCAAAAGCAGGAAACTCAAAAAGTTTATATGCAGGCCAAGTGCAGTGGCTCATGCCTGTAATCCCAGCATTTTGGGAGGCCAAGGCGTGTGATCACCTGAGGTCAGGAGCTCGAGACCAGCCTGGCCAACATGGTGAGACCCTGTCTCTACTAAAAATACAAAAATTAGCCGAGCATAATGGCATACACCTGTGGTCCTGTAGTCCCTGCTACTGGGGAAGCTGAGGCAGGAGAATCACTTGAACCCGGGAGGCGGAGGTTGCAGTAAGCTGAGATCGCACCACTGCACTCCAGCCTGAGTGACAGAGTGAGACTCCATCTGAAAAAAAAAGAAAAGTTTATATGCAGCACGGGAGTAGGAAGAGAGGAGTGGGAAGGACTGAGGAGCCAGGAGCCCTGGTTTCTGGAAGCCCTCAGAGCTCTGTTTCTCTGGAGCAGGGCTAAGCAGCCTCTGCCCTGGCAGCCAGGTCACCTGTGTCATGCCCACAGGTGGGGAGTCAGAGGGGTCCATAGGAAAAGCCACCTCTTCAAAGTCCCAACCCACCTGAAAATACACCTCCAGCCATGAGGTACCTGCTGATTCCAGACCAATGAGGGCAACGTTCTCTTCCCTTTCAGGAAAAGAAGAAGAAATTCTTTTGTGAACATAATTCTAAACTGGGTGAGAGATATTGTTAGCTACTCAATTCCCTACCCCTCACACTAATTAAACAAGTACTTTGGGTTAATTAATTTGTAGGAAAGGACTATATTGCGGAGTGTACATTTTTTTTCTGGGTTTAAACTGCTCTACTTCTCAAGTTAAAATTACTTTGCTTCAATTTTTCTTTCTTTCTCTCACCTTTAACTTGAAGTCTGTTTGCATGTTTTCTTTTTGCAGTTTGGAAAAAAATTTAGGGGGAATAGAAAGAAGGTTATTTGGTCCTTTGAAGAGAGAAATCCTGCTCATGGATTTTCTGCATTTAATTCATTGGAGAGAAAAGAGTGATTGAGTGAACAGAGTGGGAAAGGGAGGGACGAAGAAAGGCAAAGGGGGCTTTAATCTTCTCCCAGTGGAGGCAGGGCAGCTGCCTTCAAAATCCAGGGCACCTGGGACCCATGAGCCTTTGGAGACCCTTCCACAGCCAGGCCATGCTTGTCTGACCAGAGAACACTGGGCCACAGCTTCCTAAAACGGCCCAGAAGAGGTGAGCATTGGGCTCAGCCAGAAATGCTCCTGCCCTCCCAGTGCTCACTGCCTCAGGCACTTTGATCAGAGGAAGAAAAGCTGAGAACTAAGAAATCATTCAGAGCTCAAGCTGAGAGGGGGAGAGCTGATAAACCCAGGAAATACTCTTTGTAACATGAGCTTGTATTTCTTCCTTCATCTTTAGGCATAAAGAGAGGAGGCAAAATACATGGTCATCAATACTGGGTGATAAATGCTCAGAACTTCTGGGTCAGCTCAAGGGCTCACTCCAGCCTGCAAAAGGGAAAACACCTAACATAGGGCATGCATCGAGCTGAATACACACAGACTCCCACCACTATTTCCCACTGCAGAGCCCTCTGGAAATGTACTCCTGACTTTGGGCAGGACCAAGATGTCAAAGGGCTGGGAGTCCCACAGGTCAGTAATTGGGATTCATTTCAGTTCCGTTTATAAAAATCAGAAACTTTAGTACTTAATAAGTGATAAGCGTTGTGCTATAGAAATCTAGGACCAAAAGATCTATAGCAGACGGGGTGCCCACACACCTGTAAACTGCCTGAACTGGGCCTGGTTAATATCCTTTACAACTCTCCAATTATAACAAATTGATAAATATATTATAACTAATTGATAAATGGTATAAAGACTGTACTCACCAGGTCAAGGATGGCAAAGATAAGTGAGTGATTAACTGGGACCAGTGATGTCCAGGATGACTTCAGGGTAGAGGTGATAAGCTCAGTTTTGATGTATGAAAAGGAGTTCCTTGGTAAAACACAGGGGGAAATGATCCTCTATACAGGAGAAAGAACCAATGCTAACACACGGAGGTGTGAAACATCTTGGTGTGTTCAGTAGTTAGGGTTGACTCAAGTATGATGTCTGGGGAGGTGGGAAGATGAGAGATGAGTCTGGGGTCAGGTCAATAAAGGCCTGTGCCACACCAAGCCTTGTTTTCTGGGGATTTTATCCTGGTGGAGTGGTTTTAAACAGAAAGTCACATGATCAGAAGTGTATGAATGTGAGTGTGCTATGCACACGCATGCTGGCAACAGAATCAGAATGGTATGCAATATAATGATTTTCTTTTTGGACATGCTGATTTTAAAGCACCTCCTAGGGACATGGAGGGAGCAGTGGGATATATGGTCCCACGGCTCAGGAAGGGAATCTGTGCTAGGGATGCAGATTTGGGAGCTGCCGGACTGATGGTGGTGGTGGAAGTCACAACAAGGAAGAAACAGCCATGAAACCGCACCTCTGGACTCTGACTCAGCTGGGTAGCTCACTGCTCTGGAAATTCCTAGAACATCGGGCTTTAAAGAGTCCGTAGAGATTAGCCCTTAACCCTCATTTTGCAGATGCAGGAGCTGAAGACTAGGGGCAGCTCTGGCCCTAGCTTTCTGGTCCCTGACTCCCACCCTGGTCTGAGACCTGACCTGCTGCCCCACTCTATCTAAAATAGGACAAGGGAAGGAAGAGAAAGGGGAGATAAGAAGGACGAGGTGGCAAAGGTTTGATTTAGAGGGAGTCAGTCACAGCCAAAAAGATGAGGTGAAGACAAAGGATATTAACCAGGCCCAGTTCAGGCAGTAGGAGGAAGAGAAGGAAGCTGTAGTCCCCCACTAAATGGAGGAAAGCCTCAACCCCTTTCCTGCACTTAAGAAATCTCACTCAGCTCTGATAAGGGAGCTGCCATCTCTTCCAAGAAGCCTTTCCAACAAGCAGAGACAGAGCCACCTTTCCCTTCCCTAACCTGCATTGGTATTTCTTGCATGGCGGTTTCCATATTTGGTCATGAATTGAAATTATTCATGAGCACGTCTCACGTTGCTCTTGACTGTGGATTGATGGATATCATTGTCTGAGCCCCTAGAACTGAGCGTGGGCAGCCCTGCTACAGAGCGGGGGCTCAGTAGATGAAGCTGGAGGAGTCGAGGCTCACTGGGAAGACACGAGAGGGCAAGGCCGGCAGAACCAGATCCACGGATGAAAAATGTGAGTAGACAGACAAGGAAAACCAGAGCAGAGTTTGAGAAAAACATGGGGTTGCCATCTCCCTGGAGGCCTATCCCAGCTCCCCCTGTTTGAGTCACAGGCTGAAGAAAGCCCAGGTGATTTGACACCCGTCATACCAGCTCTGGCAGAGGCAGGACGGGATGATCTAATAGATATTTTCCAGCCTTCATGTCTATTATCCCCAAACAAAATGACATGTGCTTCTGAGTAGCTCCTCTCTGGTTATGTGCACTATAATTAAGCACATAGTACACACCCACCTAAGTCTGCACAGAGAGGGTGGGAAAGCCAACCCTGGCACAGCAAAACTGCCTCACTGAATCAATGCGAAGTTTCTACATTAGACTGCTGGCTGTCAAACTCATCTGTCCCACGATGGCCTCTGAGAACTCTCAGTTAAGCTCCATTCAAGACCCCAGGGAGTTGGGGAGGGGCACTGGGCTAGGAGGAGTGGTACCAGGACTCCAGCCTCTGTTCTGTCACTAAATGGGGCCCCTTTTCTCATCTTGGAATCTCCATTTGTTCATCTGGTCTACCCACCTGGCTACTCTCCCTACTCATGAGCCCTGGTTGTTCATGGTTGCTGCCCCTGCATGGCTCTGAGATTGGACCCTTAGGCCTCCAGCAGTCCCCAGAGACCCATGACAGCCCCACCCAGGTGTCCAGAGGTTGCTTTGTGGATCCCAGCAGAGGCATTCAGTAGGGCCTGGAATCACAGCATGATTCCTCTCCCAGACCCAGTCCTAGCCCAGGCTGGAATCTATGTCTTTTATCAGGGGCACTAGGTACTGTATTGATTCAGTCTTGTCCACCCAGAAAACCCAAGGGCCTCTGCCAGGCTGCAACAAGCTGAAGAACACTTATTGCAGACCCTCAAAGAGGTCCCTGGTGACCAACCTCCCAAAACAGTCTCTGCTGATTTCAGGCACCCAGACGTGCCCTGGGGCTTCTTCACCAGTGTAACTGGACTCGGGACACCTAATGCCTTCAAAGCTCCTTCCCTGCTAGGTCTTTCAGGAACAGATCATGTGCATCTCCTTTAGCCCTAGGCTGACCCCAACATCTCATGCCAACTGTTCCCCAGAGTCTGTGTGATTTTGACTGGCCAAGTGCAGGCCAGACTTAGGGAAGGAAGATTGTGGAAGGAGAGATTGAGTGGCATCCAGCAGTGGTAGGAAGAGATTTGACATCTGCAGAGTGTCCCTAAGCAATCAGGCCTCCTGTCCCCATCCTGGAAAGTTGTCATATGTGCAAGAGTGAAACAGGAGACCATGGCCCTGCCAAAACCCAGAGAAACACCTTCAGACTGGGGAGCAAAGCTCAATATGGCTGCATAGTGTACCCTAAAACTATAATAATAATAAAACTAAAAAAAAAAAGCTCAATGTTAAGTCCTGTGATTCTTCCTCCCTCTCTGACATCCATCCCCTCTCTCCACCCCTTAGTCACAGCCCTCCAGGCATGAGGATTTCAGGCTCCTTCTTACTCCAGCACAACCCTACTGCAGCAGCCAGAATGACCTTTAAAAAGTGGCCTCTTCACAATGTCAACTAGCTATAAATCACAGGAGCTCCCCATCTTCCCTGGGAGATAAGATCCATGAGCCTCTTCTCCACATCCCCATGGCCACTCCAACACAGCACTTCTACTGTCATCCCTTACTCCTCCCCTCCTGTATTCTGCTCCCAGGCCAGCCCACGAGTTCTACTTGTATCCTTCTTTTGCCATCCCTAAATACCCCATGATGCCACTTCCTCCATGCCCAGCCACACCTTGCCTCCCCCTAGGAAGCCCACCCTGACCTTGCCAGCTCATTCCTCTGCCCAGGACTCTCCCTGGGCCTCTGGGGGACAGTACCTCTTGGCCATCTCTTACATGGTCTTATGAATTACAGCATCCAGCTCTGTCCTCCAACTCTACCTCCTACCCCTTCTCCAGGCTGGAGAGATTGTTCAGCACCCCTCATGTTGCCAGAGTGGGATCACTCATTCTTCCACTGCCCTTACTATCTTGTGAGCATCCCTGCTGGTCTCTGACCAGAGACCTGCCACAGCGGGAACCCTACACAGTCCAGTCTGTTTTTCTCCATTGTCTTTTCTGCCTTCTGACATAGTATTTATTTATTTATTGTGTGTTTAATTTATGTCTCTCTCTTCTTCTCAAAAACATAGCTGCATGAGGAGAAGAATGTTTGTCTGTTTTTGTTCACAGCTGTATCCCATATCTGGCCCAGTACTTGACCCATGGCAGGCACTCTATAAATATCTTTAAACAGGGCCAGGCATGGTGTCTCCTGCCTATAATACCAGCACTTTGGGAGGCAAGGTCACAGATCACTTGACGCCAAGAGTTCAAGATCAGCCTGGGAACATAGCAACAGTGTGTCTTAACAAAAGATACAAAAATTAATCAGGTGGTGGCACGCACCTACGGTGCCAGCTACTTAGGGGGCAAAGGCAGGAAGATCCCTTGAGCCCAGGAGTTTAAGGCTATAATGAGCTATGATTGTGCCACCACACTATCCTGGGTGACAGAGTGACACTTTGTCTCTAAAAAATAAAAAGTCTTTGAACAAATGAATGAATGACTGGATGAATGTAAGTTATCATAAGCAGCAGCCATGCAACATCCCAGTGTAGGTAGATTCTTTCCACGTGAGACCCTGGGAGAAGCTGAGCTGAAAGATTCTTGGCCTAGGTGTCAGGTTCCCTGAGATCTGGGTGAGCAACTTTTTCTGTCTGTGCCCTCAGTTTACCTACCTAAAAAAATCAGGAGCTGACAGGTGCACCACTGCTGAGTCTGTCAAGAGCAACTCCTCATCAGCAGCCCACTCCTGCCCACTCGCTGAGATCCCAAGGCCTCCCCTGTAAACTACCCACAGGCCTTCGCCTAAGTCTCTAATTAGTAGCTAGTCTTATAATCATTCTCTCTGGTCAATACCACATTCATTATGGGCTTTCAGTCATTTTATTTCCCAGACCAAGGCATACACCGAACAGGATACTCAAAGAGAGGAGGCAGCCAGCTGATGAGGCCCAGTGCTTGGGCTGCAAGGCCGCCTGGCTGCCAGAGGGCTGAGGGGCCTTGGGGTCACACCCCCCACCCCTCCTTCCACAGCGACAGTGGATGTCTTGCTCTGGAATGCAGTGGGTGTTCCCTGGTGGTGGTGGTGGTTTCCTGCCCCAGCCCCTCGCACCTTCCACACAC
Source organism: Homo sapiens (assembly GCF_000001405.40). Lineage (NCBI taxonomy): Eukaryota > Metazoa > Chordata > Mammalia > Primates > Hominidae > Homo > Homo sapiens. Next base: position 23,024,854 of record NC_000002.12, read on the forward strand.
ACCTCTATACTCATTGGTTTTCCTTCTTGCCTAGACCAGAGTTGCTCTTCCCTTCTTTCTGTGCCCTGTAGGAAGAATTCAAACAAGGCCCAGACTCCAGGGGTGGGCTACCCCTTGCAAAGTTTCAAGGGAAGTGTCAAGAAGGGCACTACTAATGTGTCTGTCCGTCCATGTCTTCCCATGGGACAGAGAGAGCCCACCTATGTGATTCGATTTTTTTTTTTTACATCTAGACTTGAGGTTTATATTGTTATTTCTACTGTGGGGATCCAGTTAACCCACCAGATCAAATTGAAGCTTTTTCCCAGAGAGCACTGCTTTGGGGGTAGCCCTACCCGAAGTCTCCATGAGTGGGTGGAATGGGAGCTGAGGCCTTAAAGGGTGGGAGGCAGGATTTGAGTGCACAAGAGGAGAGAGGTTGGAGGGAATTTCAGCAGGGTAGGGTGAGAGGTTTGAACACGGACATGTAGCAGGCTTTGGGAGGCTCTTTTTGAGTTGGAAGTTTCTTGACACAGACTACAGCTGCCTCCATGAAGCCCATACTGCTGTCTAAAGGGCTACCTACGGGGCCTGGCCCACACATCAGGCATGATGTCAAGGCCAAGAGACAGCTTAGGGAGAAAGTTAGTATGTGCAGAGGTTAGGAACACAGGCTGTAAGCCAGACCACTTAGGTTCAAACCTGGGTGTACCACCACCTACTGGCTAGATAACTAGTCAAGTTTCTTAACCTCTCTCCCCATCTGAGAATGAAAATAATTGAGCACCACCTCACAGGCTTGCTGGGGCAATTAGATAACAAAGTATGAGCAAACCCTTAGGCCCACACCTGGGACAGAAGAAGCGTTCAACAAATGCTAGCTATTAGTATTATTATAATTACATATTCCTTCCCATCACTATTGCCCTTCACCACCACCACCACCAAACATAGCCCAAATGATCACACGTGGAGCCTCAAGACACACCTTGGGCCTCCTCTTCAGCCAGTACACCTCCTGCCACTCCTCTATCGAAATTCTGCAACTCCTCTGAGGGGCCAGGTTCTGGTTCCAAGGCAGCCAAGTCCCCAGGCTCTGGCTGGGGTCCCCACTGTCCTGTCAGTGAGAAATTACAAGGTAGCCTCCTATCAGAAGAAACCAGCCACACGGACGAGGAGATGCTCCCTGAAGGACACTGGGAAAGTTACCAGGCAGCCGCTCTAGGAGGAGACCTGAGGATCTGACTCCCCATTGGGGTTGCAAAGTCCTTCTCTGAACCCCAGGCCTTCCTCTTTGCCATCTCTTCCTTCTCTGGAGAAGCTGCACCCAGAGCAGTCAGCTCTGCTGACCAGCTCTGCTGGTCAGAGCCTTGCACCCAGGAGCTCCAGCAGTCTTTCCAGACCAATCAAGAATCCGCTTCAGATGGGGAAAACCCACTACTACCCATCTCCGGCCTCTAGTCTCAATGATTTCAACTGCCAGAAAAAAAAAATTTATGCAAATCAGGGCCAAATTGAAAATCTGTTCATCACTTCTTCTGGTGCCTGGGGTCCCTTGTTGGGGAATTTTTAAATGGCTCAGCTCATCTGAAGCCAAAGAAGAGAGAGGAGACAGATGGAGTCATGCGTTTTTACAGAGATTCTTAAGAATTGTCCTTGTGGAAACCCCTCTGCCCATCTATGCTGTGGTGGGGAAGTCTCATTACATGACCGGCTCTTACTAAAGATATTTCTCCCTGCACCTGACAGCTCGGGCATGCTTCTGTGGGGACTCGCTTGCGTGGTGGCCTTCAGGAGAGGCATTTCTCATACCACTGGCTCAGAAAAACCCAAGGCTTGCTTATTGAAAAAGCAATCTTTCTGCTGCCCAACAGAATGCAAAGCATCGGTTTTAACTACTCCCCTCCACCACCAAAAAAAAAGTCCACCTGTAAAGGCACTTCTTGTCAATTAAAACTGACTCCACCCAAAAAGTGGAAAATGTGGTGTGAGCCAGGCTGTACCCAAAACATTTATCACGTGTCTGCACAAACAGAAGATCTAATTTAAAGAGCCCTGGGGATTCCCTTTGCATGACGTCTTCTGAGCAGAAAGTCTTATGGGCATTGAATTTGGCTGCAGAATTTGACTCAAGGTCTGGTCTTCAAATATCCTGCAAAAGGAGCGGGCTCTCAGAGGCTGCCCTTGGGACCATGATCACTTAGCAAAGCCCTCCCTTCACTCAGTGTAGTAGTCAGGGCTCTCCAGAGAACCAAAATCAATAGGACATAAATATATACAGAGGGAAAAAGAGAGATTTATTTTAAGGAATTGGCTCATGGGATTGTGAGGGGCTGGCAAGTCCAAAATCTGCAGGGTAAGTCAGCAGCCTGAGAATTCAGGTAAGAGTTATGTTGTAGGCTTGACTCTAAATTCTGCAGGGCAGCAGGCTAGAAATTCAGGCAGAGTTTCTATGTCACAGTCTTGAGGAGAGTCTTCTTTTTCTCTTTGAAAAACCTTTGTCTTTGCTCTTAAAGCCTTCAGTTGATTGGACGAGACCCACTCACATTACGTAAGGTGATCAGCTTTACTCAAAGTCTATGATTTAAATTACACATTTAATAAATACCTTTGAAGCAACATCTAGGCTGATGTTTCACCAAACAACTGAGCACCATAGCCTAGCCAGGATGACACATAAATTAACTGTCACACTTAGCATGTTCCTTCCACACCCTGGCCACACACCTAGCCAGTCTGCCCCACCTGCACCCTGGCAGTGCCTGGCTCCCTCTCCTTGGGCACGCATGCTCACTCACAGCTCTATGCTTTTTCAAGCAGCCTCTCCCTCTCCCACTGTAAGGCACTCCTCCCCCATCCCTTGCCTGTTCAAACCCTCCCTTTACCCTCTAACACCCAACTCCAGCTCCACTTCTCTGATGGAGTCTCCCTCCTGGAATGTCCATAGCCTGCAGCCAGACTTGGATCACACACCTCCGGAACTCCTTTTTCCTCCTCTTGTCTCATTTCTGAATTAAGAGATTGGTACACACACCTCCACCTCCCATCTAGAGGAGGGCTGGGAAGATGAAATGGATGCAATTACTTGACTGGAGAGGATTTTCTCTGCAAGGAAGGAAAGCATAATGATGGTAAATGTTGGATTAAAAAACAAATGAACAAAATCAAAACAGAAAAAGGGAAAGCCATGAAAACCCGGAGGTTGTTCTGACTGAATTGAGCTATAAACACAAGTTGAAGAGAGGTCGGTTAAAGAAGGTGAGTTCGTTGTAGATAAATACATTAAATAGCTCCTATTCAAGCTAATCTGTGAAAATGCAAATTATTCTCTGGCCCTGCAATAGGAGTCACCTCAGAACTGCAGATGGGGCTTCCGGCAGACATGGGGACAACATTAAGGGAGGACAGAGTGAGTCACTCCATGAAGACCTCTCCAAGCAAATGAGTTCAAAGTTCTGCTTTTAATCAATTCAGTGTGGGATATCACTGGGCAGCATTTCCTCTGAAGATAAGGACAGCATTGATTATCAGACAGGGAACCCTGAGGAGCAAGGGGCCTGCGCCAGATCAAAGGGCCAAAACCAGCTTCAAGAGGGGCGTGCTGGCTGCTTTACCAGAATGAGTACAACTCCCACCTCAAACCCCAATCCCTGACAGGCAGGAGAGCCTAGAGCCAGCCCACTGGGAGCCAGTCACCAGCTTGCAGGAAGGAGTGGAAGAGGAGGGAGATCCACAAAGACTAGGGGCATTTCTGAATGACAGAGTATGGCAAGTCTCAATGTTTGCTGTATTCTCAATTAATTATTAATATTGTTGAGCATGAAAAAGTGTTACACGCCCTATGCTAAATGCTGAGGAAATAGCAGACAGCCTGGGATCATGCCTGTAGGAGATGCATTCTATAGCAGGGAATAAAGACATTGGGCAAGTCCAGGTTGAGAATCCCTTATCCAAAATGCTTGGGACCAGAAGTGTTTCAGATTTCAAACTTTTTCAGATTTTGAAATATGTGCATACACGTAGTGAAATATCTTGAGTATTAGATCAAGTTTACACTCAAAATTCATTTATGTTTCATATACCCCTTGTACACAGAGCCTGAAGGCAATTTTTTAATAACTTTGTGCATGAAAGTTTGTGTCAAGTACTTACATGTGGAATTCTCCACTTGCGATGTCATGTTGGCACTCAGAAAATTTCAAATTTTGGAATGTTTTGGATTTCAGATCTTTGGATTAGGTATGCTCAATCTATACTACACATAATTGCCAAGATAAATCAGGTGGAACCACACACAACTTTGTTATTTGTTTCTTGCATTTTGCTTTTTGAGACAGGGTCTCACTTTGTTTCTCAGGCTGGAGCGCAGTGGCGCAGTCACAGCTCACTGCAGTCTCAACCTCCTGGGCTGAAATAATCCTTCTGACTCAGCCTCCCAAAGTGCTGCTGGGATTACAGGCGTGAGCCACCGTGCCCAGCCCGTACACAATTTTTAAAGGGCAAAGTGACATCATGGGAGCAGCAGGCTTGTCCTTGCTGAGGATGTGGAGGGAATTGCAGGAATGGTTACTTCTCTACAAACAGGAGGCTCCCAGCACTGCCTTTGCTCCTTATCCCTCCCTGCTCCCAGTCAGCTTTCAGAGCCTCAGTCCAGCCTGGGGAGGGATGGTGGCAGATCTTAGACTGGATTAGATATCCCTCCTACGTGTTCCTTTTGTGATCTGTGATGTCCCCCACCACCACCATCCTTCCATAGAACTTCCTGTGCTATATTTTAATTGTTTCATTGCCAGTCTCATCCATTGAATAACAAGCTCCTTGCAGGCAGAGGCATGAGAGTCTCATTCAAATTTTACCCCCAGGACCAACAGAGAATGTGAGACTTTGTTAGCCACGACTTCAAGTGCTGCCTGCTTAATGCATGTTTAGAAAAACTTCACTAATAATGATAGCTGCCAGTGTTTGAACAGGCATTGTGTGCCACATGCTGTTAAACACTTGGCAAATATTGGCTCCTCTAGCCTTTGCAATAACCTTTTGAGTCTGGCATTATTATCCCTATCAAGCAATTAAGGGATGCCCCGAAGTTCAGAGAAACTAAGTAATCTGCCCAAGGTCACACAGTGTGAGACTAGATTCAAACTCAGAACTGTCCCTGGACCCCACAAATGCTAGTGTGAGGTCTCCTGGAATGACAGCACAATCTCTGCAGATGCACAAGGAGAGAAAATTCCTTCTTGCCAGATGCAAAAGGAATCCAAGGAGCTTCGAGTGCTCAACAAATGCATCCACATGGAAGGCAGAAGGATTTGCAGTTGTCAAAATTGAAAGCTCCCAGAAATGGGGCTCCTAAGCCTGCAAGATCCTCCGTAAGGAGGTAAAAGCAGGAGCCAGACTCCACTCGTCTTCTCCAGGAGAAAAAGAAAAAACCTAAGCCGGGACATAGGGAGGCAGCCAGCCAAATAAAGTGGAAGGAGGCACAGGTATACGTCATCAATGTCCCTCCAGGTTATCAGCATCCCTCTTAGTCTTATCAGGGCTTCTCTCCAAAACTCAGGGCCAGCAACATGCAGCAAATCCCAGAGCTACTTCCAGACTCAATTGGGTCTGGGGAAGGAAGCAGAGAGAGAAACAGAGCATGTCACAGGTGAGGGTCAGGCACAAACTGACAGGCTAGACGCATGGGCACAAAAGTGGCAAGTGATTTACCTGCTGTCACACTGCAATCCTTAAGTGGAATGTGCTAAAACAATCTAGACTGCTCTTCCTGTGGAGGTATGTGTCTCCCTAAAGAGCCACTTCAGCCTGCTGCTTCTCCCTGTGGAAAACTAAGAGAGGAGTTTGTCATCACGGAAAGAAAGAAAAGAAGCCTGCTCATTTCATCACAAAAACTTCAGCGAGCCTATGGCAAATGGTCTCAATTCTTCCTTCCACCTGATTTATACCAAAGCCACTGTTCACCCTGATGGTGTTCAATATATCACTAGAATGAACACTGTGCATCCTGGCATTTCACCCTCCAAAGCCTTATAGAAAAATGGATGCTAATGAAGAGAACTTCCATGTTTTCCTAAGAAGACTATCAACTCTGATAATATAGAGTGCTTCAGCAGATCAATAAAAGCAATAAATCAATGCAATTTATTAAATACAACAAGCACTTTCCTAGAAAAGTGCTCAGAAATACTCCAGAATAGCATGTCACCAGCACTCAGCATGAGAACAGGTCCCAGTGGCCACTTACTTAGTATGAACAAAAGTTCAACAAATAGTTCATGAACAGATTTATAGCCAGGAACAGTGACCTTTCCAATCACCCCACCCCACCCCAATCCCAAAAGGGGTCTCCCTAGGCAGATTCTCATTGTTGCTCTTCAGACAGAGCCCCACTTACCATCCTTTCCACAGAAACACTCAGGTTGGCCCTTGAGACAGAGCTAGCCAGTGTTAGAGTGAAACAGGGTAAGTTCTATCAGGCAAAGAAAAGCATGGATGAGGTGAGGTCAAACATAGTGAGTCTGGAGAATGTAGGGATTAACCCTCCAGTCTGCCCATTCTCTGCTCAGAGAAGAAGCAGAGAAGGGGTCTTCATCCAGGGGTCTGAAAGCCATTCCAAAGGCAAGCCTGCATCTCAGCCCTGCTCTGGACATTTAGACAGAGCTGCTTTAACAACTCACTGGAGTGTGCCGGCCACTACTTTTCACTTCCTCCGCAAGCAAGAGTTCCTAAAACAGCTGCTAAGCTGAGGAAGATGAGAGGGCACCTCTCTCCCCAGCAATGGCAAACTGGAATTGCCATTTCCTCCCCAGATCCCTTCTGATCTTTCTCTCCAGTAAGGCCACTGAAAAGAGAAGGGTCATGGCAAGGCTCCTGTGAGGTCATGGTGCAGGTTTAGACACCCAGGGCATGACCTGAGAGCAAGCTCCTCCCCAGGCAAAGAGCCTTTGTGAAAACACTTACCTTCCTGTGTCATTCATTCCCACCACCTCCTTCCCTTCCTCCCTCCTTCCATCCATCCATCCATCAATCCATCCACCCATATCTCCCTCCATTCATCTTTCCACTCACCAATCCACCCATCCATCTATCCACCAATCCATACATTCATCTATCCACTCATCTATTCACCAACTCACTTATCCAACAATCCATCCACCCTGCAAACGCTGGGGGCTCCACTACATACAAGGCTCTGTGGGGATGCAGAGTCTCTCAAGGATCTAGGGTGTAAAGCAAGTGATAAAACAGCCTGTTGACCAGCCATATGATGGAATAGGCTGAGCTTGGCAGGCAGTTACCCCTGTGTCCTCATCTCAGCTGTGAGTCCTTGGGTAAGTTATCAAACCTCTCAGTGCCTCCAATGCCATATGTGGAAAAAAGGAATAACAATATACCTACCAAATAGGTTATTTGTGAAGATTACATGAGATAATGAAGTGTTTCCCAAAGGGTGAGAAAACACACCATCAGTGGTACAGGAACATTTTAGTTGGCACAGGGCAAACTGTTATTTAAAATAGGTAGCTATTTTAGAAAAAAAATAACCAAACATCAAACTTATAACTTCACAGATATTACTACTTAAGATAAATCTAAAGTTTAAATTTAGTTTACACAGACTGAGAGTTAATTGCAACACACGTTACCAAGAAAAGGCTTATATCCAGAATATATAAGAATTTCTGCAAATCAACAAAAATATTTTTTTAAAAAAAGAAAGATAAAAGACTTGAACAGACACTCACAAAAGAAAGTATCCAAATGGTCACTGTGAAAATATAACTAATCTCATTAGTAATCGGGGAATGCAAATTAAGAACACAATAGGGTATCACATTCCCAGGATGGCTACATGAAAACAAAGATAAAACTAAGTCTTGGTAAGGATGGAGGGCAATAGAAGCTTGCATACTTGCCTAACACTTGCATAGAACAGGACTGTAAATTGGTACAATAATTGGAAAACCTATTTGGCACTATCTACTAAAGCTAAACATACCCATGTTATAACCCAGCCAATATACTCCTAAGTACATGCTCAGCATAAATGTGCTTTAATAAATATGGAGATGATGCTAATACTACTATTATTTCTAATAGCCAAAACTAGAAATAACTAAAAAGTCCATAAACAGTAGAATAAATAAATAATGTGCTGATACACACAATGGAATACCACACAGCAATGAAAATAAATGAACCACAGCTGTATGCAACAACAGAGGTAGATTTCTCAACTATATTACTGAATTATAGGAGCCAGACTGTCTTAGTCCACCGATGCTGCTATAACAGAATACCAGAAACTGGGTAATTTATCAGAAATTTATTTCTTACAGTTCTGGAGGCTGGGAAGTCCAAGACCAAAGTACCAACAGATTTGGTGTCTGGTGAGGGTTGCTCCCTGTTCCCGAGATTCACCTCCTTGCTATGTCTTCACATGGCAGAAGGGATGAACACTGTGTCCTTACATGGGGGAAGGCAGAAGGGCCAAATGCCTAGCTAGTCCCCTAAAGGCCCCACCTCTTATTACTGCCACAGTGGGCATTAAGTTTCAAAGTGAATTTTGGAAGGGATACAAACATTCAAACCATAGCACAGACACACACAAAAGTAAATAGACTATATGATCCCATATGTACAATGAGCAAACACAGGGCAAAATAAACAATAGTTTGAAGGTTAGGATAGAGTTACCTCTGGAGAAGCAGGAAGAGGACCTCAGAAGTGTTTCCAAGGTCCTGGCCCTGTTTCTTGACTCGAGTATTCATTTCATGATAATTTCTTGATTTCTACATTTATGCTTTTTGTACTTTTTAATATATCTCTTTTATTCATAATTTTGAAAATATTTTACAAGGTATTTAAATATTAACACATGGGTACACGATTATAGCAAAATTGCGAGCATAATAATGATCAAAGACATGTTAGAAAGAAGTAACCTTCACAAGATACAGATCCTGTTCTGTACACTTTACATAAATTGTCTCACTTAATTGTCACAACAATCCTATGAGATACATAATACTATTAGTCCCATTTTATAGATGGGAACGCTAAGGCATGGAGAAGTTATATGACTAAGGACACTCAAGTCATCAGCAGAAAGCCAAGATTCAAACCCAGGCAATTAAGCACTGAAGTCTGTGATCTTGGCCATCACGCCACGCTGCCCTCACATAAAGGACAAGCATATTAACTGGCACAGAAGAGGTCACACTCATCCTGTGATGACTCTTGTTGTTACAAATAATACTCTTTCCTTTTGATTCACTGCGTTCTGCTCAAGAACCTGCCTGTCATTCATCACTCCTCTCTCAATTTGTTTTTTGCTTTGGTTTTGACACTCTTTCCTTCCCCTCAAATGTTGTGTCCCAATTTCAAGAAGTCTAATAAAGCACTGTCCACTTGGGATCTAGAGGATATCAAAGGCATAATAACACAGCACTTTGAAGCATAAAATAGCCAGACTGATATCCATGAGCTATTAACCACAAGCTCAAAAGGTGGGATTTGGCTTCACCTGACAATGGCTGTCTCAGGGAGACCACCAGAAGGTTCTGGCTTAGGAGTGGGGTGCAAGCATGGACTCTGGCTCCTCTGGATCCTGCAGGAATCTGGTGCTAAAGGTAGCAGGATCACAGGGAGAGCCTGCTGTAAACAGTGGGCACCTTCCCTCCTAGGAGAAAGCTGGAGGTGGGTGATGCAAGTGCATTTAGCATGAAGCAGGAAAAAAATGGTTCACAAATATTAGGAAAAGTAAGAAGATGCAGCCGGCATCCCAGGCCTTGAGGATGTTACCTGAACTAAACTCAAGCTGCATCTGCTCCAGGAAAGCGATGCCCTTTAAGACTGTGCGGTCATCCACCAGGGAGACGAACCCCTCCCCTCAGCACCTCCACAACCTGTTGGAAAGCCGGTTGATTTGTCATCAGAAGACCACTATTATGGCTCCGAATATCTGCACAATCCTTTTGGTGCTAAATTTATTTGTAATCATTGCAGTGGCCTGTTTAATATAACTAATGGGCATATTCATACTAAGCAGTATGCCATTGGAAATCCCCTTCCCCCAGCTGAGAATATCCACAAAGATGCAACAAAGATGCTGAGCCAGGAAGCAACTATATCTAAAGAGACCAGGCTTTTGCACTTGAGCCCCTACCTTGGATGGAGAAATTTTACCAAAGAAATGTCCCCACCGGACACCTGTGTGGACAGCTCCTGTACCTTCAGGCTGTGGGGACGGGGTGTCCTATTTGTGAGCTGCCATTTCTGAAAGCTTGATGACAGGGGCAGAGCCCCCCTCTGCAGGCCTCCTGCAGCGGATGTGATTTACCATGCACATTATTAATGAGCTTCATCCTAAAGTTATTCTGGCTGCATGTGGAGCTTAGAGGACTTGGGAGCACAACTTGGCAGGCAAGATAGGCTTTAAAATGCAGAACTTCTCTAGCTTGTTTAAAAAAAAGACCACAATATCAAAGAGAAAATCAGAGTGGGGGGCAGTAGCAAACAAGGGTTGGGAAGAGTAAATGAGGAAACAAAAAACTAAATATACAAATACACACACTATATGGATATCTATATCTATACACACACACACACACACACACACACACACGCACGCACACACAGCTCCATTTCTGTTCTGCTCCATTCCTTCCAGCCTTGGGGCCACTCTCTTGCCAGGACCTCTCATTCTTCTCTATCTTGTCAAAAACTCAAAAACTGCAGGTCCTTCCAGACTACCTGAGTCATCTACAAAATTCTCCCTTGAATTTCCCAGATCTCAGCACTTTTCCTCTTAGACATTCCTTCCTAATAGCCATTTGGCACTTCATTCATTTAATTATTCATCAAAACAGATATGGATGCCTTGCTGTGCAAGTAATTGTGGCAGACGCTAATCCCTGGGTCTTAGATAAGTCAGCTTTCCCAGTGGGTATCTTGTCTTTTTCAAGCAGCTGAGTTCCCAAAAGTAGGAAGCACCACAGGTTCATAGTCATGCTGCTCAAGGCCTGACACAATCCTTGGCACACATCAGACCCTCAGTAATACCTGCAGGATGACCACAGTGGACTCAGCGTGATGGACGGTGACCTTGCTTGCTTTTCCACACTGACCCCTGACCGGATGTTGTCAACAGCATCATTGCCCATCTTCCAGAGGTCAGCTGGAGGCAGAGGACTGGTCCCTCAGGAGGAAGGTTCTCAGATGCTAATTCAGCTTTGCTTGTCTAAGGATCTAACCTCTGAAGAATCAAAGCCCCAAACATCATCCTGTCTCTTTAGGTCTCCTGTCTGGGGACTCTGCCTCCAAAGAACCAGGCCAGAGACACTGACAGTGATGGAGGTGAGGAGGTCAGCCACCGATGGCTAACAACAGGCTGGCTGCTTCCAAAGATGAATGGACATTCATTCAGTGAACAAGTAAGGGCTACAAATGAGTTTGATGAATGGGGACTTCAAGAGATGATGGGAAGGGGCAGAGATTGAGACCTGGGCCCTGCCCTGTCCTCTAAAAGAAAAGACATTAAAGGTATGACATTGGAAGAATAACCAATCCTGACATGACATGAAGTGACATAGCTATCTCAGCCCAAATCCAGGGAAGAGCTCTGAGAGGAGGCACCACCCCACTCCCCGATGGTCACAAAGGAGTCTGGTCACACGAAGGACTTATGCAAAGTGTCCAGATACAGCCTAAATTTTTCACCATCCCAAGGGCCGGTCCAGGCTGTGAGATTCTGAATGATGAAAAATACTGTTTCCTCCAAGCTCTCTGCTACACCCAGATTTCTATCGTAGATCACTTCTGCATTTCAGAAGGAATGGAAATTTCACAGCCAGACACACTGTTCCTATCATAAGAGGTGACAAAACAGCAGTTTGCTGGCCAAGGTAGAAAGAACTGGGGGCCCTTGGACCTTGGGCTTCATTCCTTCCTAGATCACTTCAGGGAACTGTGAGGGAAGTTTTCTTCCACTGGCAGACATCCTACTCCAAATCCCAACAGGAGTTGCTTTCTCCAAAAGAAAACTTTGGCAAACGCATCACTGTATCAGCAAGTGCATCAAAATCAGAGATGACCCAGGGTACATCTGTTTTGAGAGAATCTCCTAGTTACATCTGACAAACATCAACAACTCTGAACCTTTCCCTGCATAAGGCTTAAGTCTAGATTCCTGAATCCGGCAATAACCACGAATCTCCCTTTCCTTTTATGAAAATCTTGATGTGTGCCCAGGACTATGCTTGGTGATAGGAGGGGTCCCCTACCCACTCTGGCCCTGAATGGAGAGACAGCACAACAGCTCATCTTAGAGCGTGCATGGATCTGTCAACTTGTCCTCTTCTTTTCTGGGAAGGTTGCAGCTGGGGTTAAATAACAAATGATTACAAAACCCCTTTCTCTTTGAGATGAGAATTAATATTAATGCAATTATATGCTGATGGCTTCAGTGCTCTGCTGAAATGGATCAACATTTAAACTGTCATTTAACAAAAATAAAACCATCCTGCAATGACTATAACAATATGACAAAAGGCAAAAATGCACAAAGGACTCTACTGGGTGCCATTTTTTGCAAGACTATTCTAAGAATTAGAGTAGAGGAGAAAAAAAATGCAACTCTCCCAGTTGAAAATGTTTATTCCCATAAAAGGTAAAAGTTGGCTTATTTTTGTGAAATATTACAAATATGTTCTTAAAGTCACTGAATTCCTCAACTACCTTACCCGAAATCATTGCTTTATGGAGCTTTTAAGTCCATAAAAATACCACACTGTAGCTAAAATAGGGCCATTCACCAAGCAACAGGATTGTAAACAGGATGGCAGAGAAAGAAAGGACTCTTTCAGAACAGTGGAAAGCCACTGTCCATTTCTTACAATGCAGTTGGTGTGGTCTGGGGACAAGTGAACTGCATAAGACTCCCCACTCACAAACATCTGTGTTCCCACTCTCCAAGCTCCATATTGAGAATCGTCCCTTTGAATCTCCATCAGTTCATTGTCAAAACAAATGGATCACTCAATCCTTAGACCTGTAGTGCTAGAAGGGACCCGGGTTGTCATCCAATTTAATCTGTCCAATGCACAGCTGCAAAATGCAGATCTGGAGACTCAGCCAGAGTCACACAACCAGTCATTAATAGAACTGGGATCCATTCCAAGGCCTCTAGATGCCAAGCCTGGTACGTTGTCCATTACCCAATATTATGGGTTGAATTGTATCCCCTCTAGAAAAAGATATGTTGGAATACTAACTCCTAGTACCACAGAATGTGCCCTTATTTGGAGATGGGGTCTTTACAGAGGTAATCAGTTAAAATGAGATCATTAGGGTAGGCCCTAATCCAGTATGACTGCTGTACTTTTAAAAAAGGAAATTCTGGATACAGAAACAGACACAGAGGGAAGATGTGAGGAGACAGGGAGAAAACAGCCATCTACAAGCCAAGAAGGAAGGCCTTGAACCAGTCCTTCTTTTACAGCCTCAGGAGGAACCAACCCTGCTGAGACAATAAATTTCTATTGTTTAAGGCTCCCGGCTGCAGTACTCTGCTATGGCAGCCCAAGCAAACTTACACACAAATATCAACTGTCCGGAGTGCAATATGTGTCTGTATAGATGTCTACATAGACATGTTGGCTTTATTCCACAGTTCAGATATCTATTAACCTTGACTTCCTTAAAAAATGAAAGAACAAAATTTTTCTAAAAGTATATTTTATAAAGCCTAGCCTTTAAAAGACACAACCTTGGTCCAAACCAAGGATAGGCCAACAGCCCTATGAAGTAGAGATTATTATTAACTCCATTTTTGAGATGAAGACACTTAGACACAAAGAGGTGGCAAAAACTGCCGAAGAAAAACCAATTAGTAAGGGGCAGAGCTGACTGCAAACCTAACTGTGTTTGGTTCCAGAGTAGGAGTTCCTAAGCAGTACGCTACACAAGAGGTCATGAATTGCCCATTGCTAGCAGTATTCAAACAGAAGTTGGAGGCCCACAGTGAGAGATACTTTCTAAGGAATTTCTTCCTTGAAGAACAGGGAAACTAGAGTGACTTTTTTTTGTTTTTTTTTTTTTTTTTGAGATGCAGTTTCACTCTTGTCACCCAGGCTGGCATGAAATGGCACAATCTTGGCTTACTGCAACCTCCACCTCATGGGTTCAAGTGATTCTCCTGCCTCAGCCTCCTGAGTAGCTGGAACTACAGGCACCCACCACTACGCCCAGCTAATTTTTGCATTTTTAATAGAGACAGAGTTTCACCATGTTGACCAGGCTGGTCTCAAACTCCTGACCTCAGGTGATCCACCCGCCTCAGCCTCCCAAAGTGCTGGGATTACGGGCGTGAGCCACTGCGCCCAGCCTGGAGTGATTTTTAAGACCCTTCTAGCCTTGAACTTCCCTGAGTTTGTGATCCTATAATTACTGCTGGTTTGAGTAGTCAAGGGAAATTTCAAAGAGGAAATAAGACAGGAATGAAAGTCAGAATTGGTGTGGACAAAAAGGAAATTAACAATGGGGGTGGCAGATTTCAGTAGACAGGAGGAATAGCAAGGAAAGTGTTAGTAGTTTTGAGTTCTCCAACTTTCCTAGTTAAAAGATGCCCATAGCTTCAGATCCTCCCAGATTTATGCTGAGTGTGGAGTCACTTGAGCCTCACAGTTGAGCCTCCATCCTTTGTGCAGCCTGATTATATTGTGCTGAACACTTTCAACTTCTGAAAGTTACATGTTATTATGGATGAATGTAGGGGCCAATGCTCTGAGCTCTTAATTTAGCATTTTTTGCAGCCCTAAGTTAAACACAGGCACACACATAATGCCTCTACCATGCTATGAGTTAAATTCTGCTAGCATCTGAGTGCCCACGTATCTTATATTATCCTTAATGTGAGCTACTAGCACATGCCGTGGAAAGAAAGTAGGTTTCAGAGCCCTCGGTTCCCAGAGCACCCCCCAAATTTATGCAGAGTCAGAATCATAGTTATTGGAAGGATGGCTTTCTGTCTCTGACACAGTTCAGGCAGCAGACGTGTGTTTCTGATGAGGTAGCTGCAGAACATGAAACTTGCTCATTTTCAAGCTAAGTTTTTATTTTCTCTGGTTTCAACAAGTTGCTGTGCAGAATATCTACTCAGCATGTGGCATTTTCTTAGCATGCTTTAGAATAAGAAAGGTAGACTCCCAAACACCCCAAAAGGGTGTCTAGATCAGCGGGAGAGAAGAGCTACTCAGAAGCCTGGTGCTGGATCCCTAGAGAGGTTCTATGAGGTGGCTGCTTAGGGGACAGGAGGGGATTCCATTCCAGCTGCTTGGCAGTGGGCGGGAGAGCAGGGGATGGGGGAAGGCTCGGTTTCCACATGCACTGGGGGAGAACAGGTGCTCACCAGGGTCTGGGGAGAGGAGCCTGGGAAGGGAGGCTCAGGCTTCACAGCCATCCCTGAAAGAGCCCTCTCCCACTTTCTAAAAAATGCTCTAAGCAAACCTTAAATTTGTCACCCTTCATCAGTTTCTGAGACACATTTGCTCATTTCTGCCAAGGAAAATAGGAATTGCTAAAAGAGAAAACAAACAAAAGCTGGGTGATGAAATTTTGCATCTTTATGGAAGTGCTGTTGATGAGTGGTGTCTTCTAGTACTCTCTGTACCTCTTTCCAAGGTGCCAGCAAGGCCCGGCTCTCCCATTACACAGGGTTCCCTCTGAGCAGCGGATGGGACCCAACCCCCACTGACAGCCAGGAAGGTCAGAGCTCTCCTTTAGTGCTTACTTGGAAAAGCCCTCTTCATCCAAGGTTGGGTATATGTTGTACACCCACCACCACCACTACCACCACCACCACCACCACCACCACCTACCAAATGACATTTGATCATTAATTGCCTTGTTAATGATTCCATTGTGACCACATCTCTTATGGTAACCTGACTCCAAGCCTCTTTGGAAATAAGTCTGTTATAAATAATAAACACCATCAAAAATTGCTTAAGATAAAACACGAGGAGGTAGGCAAACTTGGGGGAAGAACATTCCCAGTGACTATACGAAGAAACTTGGAGCCAGAAGAGAATGTCGAGTTCGGTGGCTCGTTTTTCAGATGGGAAGGCGGATGTCCAGAAAGAGAATGAAACTTGCCCAGGGTCACATAGCCAGTCTGTGGACAAATGGACAGACATGGAGGGCACCCGACCCCAACACCATGCTCTTCCCTCACAACCACTGCATTAGGATCCATTCTGATCCATGGGGCTCCAGCCACCTCCACAGATTCAGTGACAGCCCCACTGCCTGTATCCAAAATAGAGAAAAAAGAGGACTTCTTTTCTCCCTTTTATTCTATCTGCTTTTTCTAAAGCCCTCACGCAGATTGCAATGGGTTTACTTTCTGTTGAAGATTAACATTGAGGAAAGGGGATAGCATCATCAGCCATTGCTGGAGATGTACCTGCCACAAACAAGCTATGACCACAGCATTTTCTACAAAACCATGCAGGATGTAATTAAGCATCCACAAGACCTCCCAATGCCCTGCAGTGACGTGCAAAATATACTGTTTGTCCCCAAAGTCCCACATATCTTGTGTCAAGTTTCCCTTCCTCCCAGTCTGCCAACAGCACTTCAGGGAAAGCACAGATTTCTCTTGAGAATTTGTTGCTCTGCTTGTTCTCAACTTGAAGTGACAACTCCTTGAGTGAAGAGCCTGAGGCTGCCATGAAAACAAAGAGACAGAGACAGTGTGCTCCTAAGGACAAGGAGCAGGGATGGTGAACTCTCAGTGAACTTCAGCATGTCCCTGCCCAGTGCCCTTCGAGCCTCCTCATCCCACACCCTCACAGGGTCAAGTTCAAACACCCTGCCTTGCCCACAAGGTCATTCCTGGCCTGCCCCTGCCTAGCCTGCAGCCACAGCTGGCTGCCCCCTGCCCTTCACCTGGCATTCCAAAGACAATGAACTGCTTGGAGCTACCCAAACACACCAAGCCTGCTCTGCCTCTGGACCTCTGCCCCTGTGGCCTCTGCTGCCTGCCTGCCACCATCCTGATTTCTCCCTTCTCCCGACACTGGGGCCTCGTGAGACCACTTCCCCTTGTCCAGGTAGCTTCAAGTTTTTCTTCTGACAGTATAATATTATTCCAACTACAGCTATTAGAAAGATCTGTTACATTCCAGAACTCTTCAGCTTTCCTTCAAAGTTCAGGGGTCCCAGAAAGCATTCAAAGTGTTGACACTCCTGGCCTCAGCACTCCATCCTCTGTGGTCTCAAGGGAGGTCCCAGGTGGGAAGGGATTAAAAGTCCTACTTCAGCATCAGGGAATTCCACTTCTGGTCCTCTTTTCCCACGGCCACAAAGGCCAAGAAAACACCTTTATTTCTTTGTTCCTGGGAAAATATTTCAGCACCATCAGTGTACACTTCTCTCTTCTACACCCCAGGATGTTTGGAGCCTCTTAAAGTCCCAAGGGTCAGCTGGTTCTGGCAAAACTGAGGCGTGGCTAAAGGGCAGAACTCCAGAGATCTGACGGCTTCTCGAAGCGTTGCCGATGAGTAAACACAAGTGGGCAGGGTAAGACCTAAATGTTTCCATGGACTGAGTCAAAATCTAAGAATTGCACTTTGTTCATAAGACCTCAAACTGAATCATCAGAGACAAATTTATTTTAAAATTATTTGGAATAACTCTTTATACAGTTATAGAATCATAAGCTGCTAGGACTTGTGCAAAATCTTTAATCCACCCACCTTATTCAGATTGGTTGACCAAGGCCAAGCAAGGCAAATTAACTAAATCAAGTTTCCTCACTAAAGCCAGACTCTCTGTCCCCCCAACCCCACCCACCACCTCCTCATGCAGGGATCTGGCCTCCGTTCACACTCCTCTATGTTACACACAGGGAAGGAATCTCTGCTCTTGCCATGAGATCTGGAAACAGCTGCACAAATCCTAACTGGGGATGCTACAGTGAACACGACTAGAAAGACTGCCTGACAACAGCAATAGCAAAATCTTACCTTCTCCCCACTCTCCCAAAGTGATTAAATGACTACAGAAGGGTGTCAGGTCATCTGAAGGCTCTTGTCTCCCTTCCCTCTTCATCCTCCTTCCCATCACCTTGAGCAAGACAAAATAAGGGGCATCTACGGACACATCTTCCAGGCAGATTTTTCTGCCTAGTAGAACCTCTCTTGTAACCAGCATCTTCTGCAGGATTAAAAGTCCCCTAGGGACAGCAACCAGAGGCTTTCAGAGTTCAGCACAACTTCCAAATTGACTTTGCTACTCAGCCTTGGATTCTTGAGCCTCAGTGTGTCTTCCCAAAGACCCAGAATTTTTTTTTTTTTTTTTTTTTTTTTTTGGAGACAGAGTCTTACTGTGTCATCCAGGCTGGAAGGCTGGAGTGCAGTGGCACAATCCTGGCTCACTGCAACCTCCACCTCCTGGGTTCAAGCAATTCTCCTGCCTCAGCCTCGCAAGTAGCTGGGATTATAGTCACCTGCCACCATGCCTGGCTAATTTTTGTATTTTTAGTAGAGATGGGGCCTCACCATGTTGGCCAGGCTGGTCTCAAACTCCTGACCTCAAGTGATCTGCCCACCTCAGCCTCCCAAAGTGCTGGGATTACAGTCATGAGCCACCGTGCCCCGCCCCAGAACTTCTGATTCTATAATTCAGAGACAAAAGAAATACACAAGAGCTCTGTGATACATCAGAGCTTCAGGGTTCAGATTCATTATACCCCAAAGAGAAAGATCTAACTAAGTAGAACCCCAGAGATGACTCTGACATGGGAAGTTTGATAAGTGACTCTGTCCTTATTGAGAAAAAGGCAGCTCATTCCTAAGAAGCAACAGCACTGAGACTTTGGAGGTCCCTACATTCCTACAGGGCAGTCTATATATTCAAGGCATTAGGAAAGACAAAGGTGACTTACTAAATCTAACAGCATTTAAAAAGAAGTAGCCATAGGTCCAGCAGCAGTAGTGTCTAACATTTTTAAGTACCTGTGCTTTGTCTGAGATATCTCATTTTATCTTCAAAATAATCTTATGTAGTCATACAATTGTGGGAGGTAGAATAATGTCCCCCAGCAAAAAAAAAAAAAAAAAATGTCCACAGCCTAATCCCTGGAACCTTTAACAATGTTACCTTATATTGGCAAAAGGGACTTTGCAGATGTGGTTACGTTAATGACCTGAAGATGGGTGGCTGTAATGGATTAGATGGGTGGACCCAATGTCTTTATAAGAGTCTATAAGAGGGAGACAGGAGATTCAGAGTCAGAGAAGGAGAGGGGATGACAGAAGCAGAGGTCATAGTGATGTGGTTGCTGGCTTGAACATGGAAAGGGACCATGAGACACAGAAGGCAGGTGCCCTCTAGAAACTGGAAAACGTAAGGAAACAAATTCTTCCCTAGAGCCCCCAGAAGGAGTGTGGCCTTGTCACATGAGATTTTAACCCAGTAGATCCATTTTGGACTTCTGGCCTCTATAACTGTAAGTAAACCTTTGTTTTGTTTGGTTTTGTTTAACTTTTATTTTAAGTTCAGGGGTACATGTGCAGGTTTGTCATATATGTAAGTTTGTGTCCTGGGGGTTTGTTGTACAGATTATTTCATCACCCAGGTATTAAGCCTAGTACTCATTAGTTATTTTTCCTGATCCTCTCCCTCCTCCCACCCTTCACCTCCCGATAGGCCCCAATGTGTGTTGTTCCCCTTTATGTGTTCATGTGTTCTTGTCATTTTAGCTCCCACTTATACGTGAAGACATGCGGTATTTGGTTTTCTATTCCTGCGTTAGTTTGCTAAGGATGATGCCTCCAGCTCCATGCATGTCCCTGCAAAGGACATGATCTCATTCTTTTTTAGGGCAGCATAGTATTCCGTGGTGTATATGTACCACATTTTCTTTATCCAGCCTATCACTGATGGACACTTAGGTTGATTCCATGTCTTCACTGTTGTGAATAGTGCTGCAATGAACATACATGTGCATGTCTCTTTAGAACAGAATAAATCCGTGTTATTTTAAGCCACTAATACCAAGTTTGTGGTAATGTGTTATAACAGAGATGAGAAACTAATACAACTATCATTATCCTCATTTTACAGATGAAGAGACTAAGGCACAAAGTGGTGAAACAGCTTGTCCCAAATCACACGCCCAGCAAGGCAGATTTAATTCTTGAGCCCAGGTAGTTCCACTCCAGAGCCAGGATTCTTAGCTGCTAAACTACACTGCCAACTACTAATTGAATCCACAAATTAATAAACGAACCAATGATGAAGAAGATGCTGTCTTAGAGGTTGCAGAGCTTAGAGTCGAGCTAAAAGATGATGTGTAAACAATGATAGAAATCCCACAAGGCATATAACATGGGAAAAAATACAATAATTGCCTTTGTAAAAGATTTATGATGAAAGAAAATAATCAAGGTTTGCTGCCGGTTATGTGCAATGGTATAGTCGCTGTGGGAAACATTTTGATGGTTCCTAAAAAGGTACCCAGAAGTTCCACTCCTTAGTACCTACCTACCAGAACTGAAGGAAAAGTACTGAAACAAGTATTTGTACACAATGTTTATAGAAGCAATATTCACAATAGCCAAAAGGTGGAAACAGCCCAAATGTCCATCAACAGATGAATGAATAAATGTATTTTGATATACACAAACAATGGAATATTATTCAGACATAAAAAGGGATGAAGTGCAATACTGATACATGCAACAGGGCAGATGAACCTTGAAAATATCAAGCTAAGTGAAAGAAACCAAGCACAAAAAGACACATATTGCATTATTCTTTTCATGTGAAATATCCAGAATTAGTAAATCCATACTGACAGACATAAATTTTTTGTTGTTGTTGCCAGAGGCTGGGGGAGAGGGGAGAGTGGGGAGCAACTCTTCAGTAGATATGGGTTTTAATCTGGGCAGTGATAAAAATGTTTTTGAATAGGATGAAGGTGGTGGTTACACAACAGTGTCACTAAATTTTTCACTTTAAAATGATTAATTTTGGGTATATACCCAAAGGATTATAAATCATTCTACTATAAAGACACATGCACACATATGTTTATTGCAGCACTATTCACAATAGCAAAGACTTGGAACCAACCCAAATGCCCATCAATGATAGACTGGATAAAGAAAATGTGCCACATATACACCATGGAATACTATGCAGCCATAAGAAAGAATGATTTCATGTCCTTTGCAGGGACATGGATGAAGCTGGAAGCCATCATCCTCAGCAAACTAACATAAGAACAGAAAACCAAACACTGCATGTTCTCACTTATAAGTGGGAGTTGAACAATAAGAAGACATGGATATAGGGAGGGGAACATCACACACCAGGGCCTGTAGGGTGGTGGGGGGCAAGGGGAGGGAGAGCATTAGGACAAATACCTAATTCATGTGGGGCTTAAACCTAGATGATGGATTGATAGGTGCAGCAAATCACCATGGCACATGTATACCGATGTAACAAACCTGCACGTTCTGCACATGTATACCAGAAGTTAGAGTAAAATTTTAAAAAATGATTAATTTTATGGTAGGTGAATTTTGCCTACCTCTCCCCCTTCCCCCAGCCTCTGGCAACAACAACGAAAAATCTATGTCTGTCAGTATGGATTTACTAATTCTGGATATTTCACATAAAAAGAATAATGCAGTATGTGTCTTTTTGTGCTTGGTTTCTTTCACTTAGCTTGATATTTTCAAGGTTCATCTGCCCTATTGCATGTATCAGTATTGCACTTCATCCCTTTTTATGTCTGAATAATATTCCATTGTTGGTATATATCAAAATATGTTTATTCATTCATCTGTTGATGGACATTTGGGCTGTTTCCACCTTTTGGCTATTGTGAATATTGCTTCTATAAACATTGTGTACAAATACTTGTTTCAGTACTTTTCCTTCAGTTCTGGTAGGTAGGTACTAAGGAGTGGAACTTCTGGGTAACTTGGTTATTCTATGTTTACCTTTTTAGGAACCATCAAAATGTTTCCCACAGCGACTATACCATTGCGCATAACTGGCAGCAAACCTTGATTATTTTGCACGTTCTGCACATGTATCCCAGAACTTAAAGTAAAATTTTAAAAAAATGATTAATTTTATGGTAGGTGAATTTATTTTTATAAAAAATAAAGGAATATTGCAAATAAAAACTATCAAGGAGGGCTTTCTAGAAGATGTAGAACTTAATCAGAGCCTCGGATGATGACTAGGATTAGGCAGGCTAGGAAGAAGTGAAATAGTAAGCAAAAATACAGAATAATTCTCCATTAATCCCATACAATAGATATTCTTGCATATCAGCAAGTTCCTGCATAGCCTGCCCCAAGTTCACCTGGCTTTGCCTTCTCCATAACTCTACCCAGCACCCAGTGACTCTATAGGAATTAACAAGAACCGCATTTACAGAAGGTTTTATATAAATGGTGTGAAACAGAGTACTTGCTGGAGAGCAACGTACTAATATCAGAAAAACTGGAGCAAGTTCCAAATAACTGAGAAAGCCCCACAGCTCCCCAAATGTATCTAGGGCTTGCAGGCAGAAAACACGGGTGCTTGTGCACCAGGTGACCCTGCCCAGTCCCTAGAGGCACCCACAGTTCTGCCTTGCTGCCCACCATGACCTGCCTGGCCCTTTTCCTCCCCACCAAGTCACCAAGGATTCCGATCAAAAGCACAGGTCAGAGGTCCCAGCAAAGTGGAAAGGGCCTGGGGAAGGCTATCCCTGGAGAAGATAAAGCTGTTCCGCCTTTCTCTGGGCCACCACCCACACAGCCTTGGGGGCAAAGGAGATGTCAGTGGCCTCTCTGAAGGTAGAAACCCCCGACTATGGTGCTGAGCTAGACTCACCTTTCTTCAGCGAGCAGAAACACGGGAGGGACCCAGGAATAAGCGAGGCCTGCCTTCAGTGCAGCCCCACTAGGGAAGGATCTGATGAGCAGCTCTGAGGAACCCTGAGAACAACCCATGTCTCAACCCAGTTCTCTGACTCTGGGCTCCAAGTCACTTCTGTGGGAGTTTCCCCATGCTGCCATCAGTCACACCAGGGGTCTCTGGCTCCTTCCCACAAGCCTGAGCCATCACTCACAGTGGGATGGAAGGCTGGAGGTGGGGGAAGTCATGAGATAGACTCTGTTCTGTTTACAAATTGCTTTTAGCCCTGCGGAGAGAAGTACTTCCAAATGTGAAGGTGTATGTGACTGATAGCTTTGCCTGAAACCTACCAAGGTTAGTGACAAAGCCATTGCCCCTGCCTGAGTCCCTCATTCCTTAGGCAGAAACAGGGATCCTGGCAATATAGTCCATCTTTTCTCCAGGAAAATGCATCACGCATCCAGGCCTCAGATCTCTCCTCTGAACTCCTTCCACCTTCCATATTTGCCTACTCACTGGGGCTGGTATGTCACAGAGAGCCTTGTTACCTTTTCCCACGTATGTCTTTCCTCTAGCTCCAGCCTGTCAATTCATCCAGGGCTAGAGCTTGTCTTATTCATCCTGAAGTCTCTCATTGAACTTGTCACAGTGCCTGCACACCTACATGCTGGTCGAACAAATGTTGTGCATTTATATTCTTGCTCCTGTGTCAACTGCTGGCTTTTATGACCTCAAGATTTATGTAGACATGCTTTTAAAATATAAGCATTTATTGCATGCCTATTGTGTGCTAGGCACAATGCTGTGTGCTTTATATACACTTTCTCCAACCCTTCTAACTACCCTGCAAAGTGAGTATTCTATCCTCAAGGGAAAAGTTAAGGGCCATGGCCATCTCTACATCCTCTGCTCATTTTCTCTCCAAGCCACACCAACTGATTTCCACTTCCTCCTACCACTCCACAAAAATGGCTTTTTCTGCTGTTGCCTATAACCTCTATGTTATATCTGACCATGCGGACCACCCCCTCCATCTTGAAGATTCTTCTCTTTGTTTTCTTGACATCACACTCCTGGCTTCCTCTGGCTGCTCTCTCTCTCTCTACCTTCTGACTCTCCTGGCTACTCCCCTCCAGGCTCCACAGGGATTAAGGGAAAAAGTTTTGTAGCCAGATTGCTGAGTTCATACCCTGAGCTCCCCCATCTACTAACAGTGACTTCAGCAAATATTTAATCTCTCATGACTCAGTTTACTTCATAGGGTTGCGGTAAAAATAAAAGGATACATGCAGCACAACTAGAACAACGCCCAACACATAGTGAGCCCTCTATTAGAGCTAGCTCCTTTTATTATCACTATTACTACAGTAACCTATTATTACTCTTTCTCTAAGTGGAGAAGTTCCTCGGAGCCTTCTGATCCTCTTCTCATCTTGCTCTCGCCTAAGGCAACCTCATTCATCTCCATGACTTTCAATGTCATCTATATGTTGGCATCTCCAAATTCATATCTCAGACTCAGATCTCATTTAAGCTCCAGACTCATTTATCCAATCGCCTACTTGACACATCCATTTGGATGTCTCACAGGCATCTCAATTGACGTGTCTAAAACAGAACTTCCTTCCCCTGGCCGCTCCTCGGTCTTCTTTATCACAGACAATGGCACCATCATCCGCTGGTGACATAAGTAAGAAGCCAAGGAATCATCCTTGACACTTCTCTTTCTCTTACCGCCCATATCGAATCCATTACCACAAACTTCCCATTTCACCTCCAGGATATCTCTCTTACTTCCATTCTCTTTTCTACATTTCTATCACCATCATGCCAGTCCAGGTTGTAGGTGTCTCTGTGTCATCTCTAAACCCTCCATTCCTTTCCTCACATGCAATCATGAAGAGGTGGTGGTGCTTTTAGTTTTTAAGATAAGTCAAACTATAAAGTCGATCTCTGCTGAAAACCCTCCCATTGCTTCCCATTGTCTATACAAGAAAATCAAATTTTTGCAGTGGCCCTCAAGGCTGTTCAACACCCGGACCTTCCCACGGCTCCAGCCTCACCTTGCCACCTTCTTCCTGGCTGAAGCTACCCCACAATCCCAGGACTGCCATCCTTCCTTTCCTTCAGGGATTCAGCAGGTTGCTCTTCCTACATCCTGCTATCTTAACCCTTTGCATGCTCTGGACTTCTTTGGCCGCCTGGTGAAACCTATGGAACCCTGCTCAGAGTGTTTTTTAATGTGTAAAATAAAATGCATAGGATTATAAAAAATATATCAAAATACAGCTGCATCTGTGAGGTACCACTTTGGTGGAGGATTTTGATAGGAGAGGAAGCCATGCATCTGTAGAGGGCAGGAGATATTTGGGAAATCTCTGTATCTTCTGCTCAATTTTGCGGTGGACCTAAAACTGCTCTAAAAATAGTCTATTAAAAATATATTTGCCATATAGTAACAATATATGTGCTTCTTTATCAGTGCATTTGCTGACAAGATCTTGCAAAGGTGCCAGTAACTACCATAATTTCAGCGAACATGATATGAAAACAGCTGTGATCTCTATTGGTGACCAGCTCACAGCCACCACTAACACTACACTGTGAAATAAAGTGGAATTCCCCTGCAGTTGAGAGCCTTGTTTGTACAAAGAAAACTCTCCTCCAACATTCTTCCCCTGAATAGCTCCTATTCATCCTGCAGCACCAGAATGAGCTTCTTTGACACCCACCCCCTACCCCGCAATTAAGTGAGGAACCTCTTCCCTGTTATCCT
Source organism: Homo sapiens (assembly GCF_000001405.40). Classification (NCBI taxonomy): domain Eukaryota; kingdom Metazoa; phylum Chordata; class Mammalia; order Primates; family Hominidae; genus Homo; species Homo sapiens. The sequence goes on from NC_000002.12 coordinate 23,050,535, forward strand.
CTCTCATCAAATCTAATTTTTACAACTCAATTTGTCTCCAGTTGTAATTACATATGCTTTTGTTTGCATGATTAGGATCTTTCAGTGTCACAAGATTGAAAGCTTCCATGAGGGCTGGAACCATGGTCACCCTGTTTAGTGCAGGAAATGATTTAATGAATGAGTGAATAAATGACTTTGCCTATCACTGGTAAGCAGTGGAGCATGGCTACAAGAAACCCATCTGTCTAACGCCATAGCTTTAATTCTTTTGCTGTGTCATATTGAATGAAACTTATTAAGAGATGATTTCTGCTGCACACGTGTACCTTCTAGTACCATCTTCCACCGATGTCTCTACTTAACAGAAAAGTTGTCTACATAATTTTGTTCGTCTTGGCCCTCAGGAAGGCTACTTTTACAAAAAATGTTTATATTTACAATGGTAGCTTTTGCTGAAAACTGACAGTGAAAAATTGGGTTCACATTTTTAACTTACTTCATTTTTGGAAAATTTTAAATGACTTTAGATATATTCAGGGTTTAAGAAATAGAAAGACAATGATGATGATGGTGATGATGATGAGCAATTATTGAGTGTTCTAAGCACTTTTCATACATTATCTCATTTAATCTTAAATGTGAAGTGTTCCTACTTCATAATTTAGAAAAGTGAGGCATAGATAGATGATGATCTCAAGCAGAAATCTATGCCTTCCACCACCACACATAATGATTTTAAGATTTTCTTCCCCTGCCCCAAGACCCTGGGATTAGATAACTATTTGAAAACTAAGAATTCTTTATGCAAATAGATTCTTAAGGGGTAACACCTTAATCTATTCCCCTCAACTAATACACTACCCAAAATTAGTTGATCATCAAATCAACTAGTCTTCCACCTTAGAAATCACAAAGAAATTATATCAGTTCAAAGTTCAAGACTCAAAACCCTTCCTGGGAGACAGGGGTTATCACATTAAGGAGCCCAGAGTAGCAGACATGGGAGTGGAAGGACAAGTAGAGAAAGAATCATAGATCAAGGTACCAGATCCCAGCTCAGAAGAGCCAGACCTTAAAAATCATTTCTGGGTTGGGTTAGTTTTAAGGCTAGGTCAATATTAGAGTTTGAATCTGTATTGGCAAAACTTAGTAATACTTAATGTAGGGTCAAGGTTAGGGTTAGAATTAGACTGCAGGTTAGGGTGAGAATCTTATTCACAATAAAGCATGGTGCCTAAGTTCCAGTTAGGGCCTGGACTTCTAGATCGACCTTAGGGTTAGGTTATGTTTTAGAAGCTGTTGACATTTGTTTTAGAGCTATTATCAGAGTCCAGGTCAGCATCAGGAAAATGGGTTGGAGATTCAATCGAAAGAACTATTTAGGTCTAAATTCAGATTGTGAGGAATAGAATACTTTCCAGTTGCTGACAAAACCCTGGGTAAGGATCTGTGCTCTGCCTATGGTCTTGGTAGAGATATGACACAGGTCTGAGTGTGTTGGCAAGATGTAGCTGGGAGTCTGGGAGTGTATCTGATAGAGATGTTTCCATCCACCTAGAGAGTAACTGTGGACACAGCGACCACCCAGAGCAGCTTTCGCCCCTGCATCCCTGGTACTGCCTGTGGCTATGAACATGCCAGGGTTTCACACCCTCTACTACCTTGGAGTCCTGTGAACCCAGCCCTTCCACCCTGGCTTACTCACGCTTCCTACACTCCCATCAGCAGCCTTGATCCCTCAGAGAAAGTGAGGGGATGCCCTGCCCTCTAATGAAACCAGCTTATCAGGCCTTAGTCAAAGTCTTAAGAGAAAGGCTTGCTTATTCCACTGATAAAAAAAAAAAAAAAAAAAAAAAAAAAAAAAAAAAAAAAAACAAGAAATTGCTCTGATTCCTTCAAACCCAATGCAAGGAACAGGTCCAGGCCTGGATGGAATCTGTGAGCTCTCTCCTCTATGCCCCAAGACACCACCTCCTCTACACTTCAGTCCCTGCCCCAAACAGCCCCAGTCATCCATCATTCTAGCTAATGGAAAATGCTCAGGACAGTGCTGGCCTCAACCCAGATACCACAGCTCTCGCTCCTCCAGTGGTGGTGGGTGGACATTGTCTAGAGCAAACAGCAAAGGAAGCTCTTGAGTGGAATTCTCAGCAAAGGTGAGATTATAGGGATCTGATATGGTTTGCATTTGTGTCCCCACCCAAATCTCATGTCATATTGGAGGAGGGGCCTGGCTGGGGGTGATTGGATCGTAAGGGCAGATTTCCCCCTTGATGGTCTCATGATAGTGAGTGGGTTCTCACAAGATCTGATGGTTTAAAGTGGGTGGCACTTCCCAATTCGTGCTTTCTCTTTATTTCTCTCTCTGTCTCTCTTTCTCCTGCTCCATCATGGTAAGATGTGCTTCCTTCCCTGTCACCTTCTGCCATGATTATAAGTTTCCTGAGACCTCCCAGTCATGCTTCCAGTCAAGCCTACAGAACTGTGAGTCAATTAAACCTCTTTTCTTCATAAATTACCCAGTCTCAGGTAGTTCTTTATAGCAGTGTGAAAATGGACTTAATACAGAATCCTTGGTCTCTCTTAGGAGACCTCAAGTTTGCATAGGGTCTTATCCTGCTGAGGGAAAACAGGACGTGATTTGCACAAGAAGTACCCACATTTTTTTTCATGAAATTCTCCCAAAACCCAAAATCAAATTATAAATGGAATCACCCTATTCCACTGGGCAAACATTATTACTGGAGATACGTTCCTCACCAAAGCCAGTGCAAAATAAGGGAAAGGGTACAGGGGACCTAGGTTCTAACCTAGAAAATCCCACTAACTGTGCCACCGTGAAAAATCCATTCCTTTAGGACTCATATCAGTATCTGTAAAATGGGAATCACTGGGCTAAGTACACCTCAGAGGAGTACCTGGGCAAAAACGAAAGGGAACGATCACTATGAAAGCCAAAGAGCTGAAACAAACACATCTGCTACCCTCCGAGATCTCACTTGTGAGGTTCTTATGGTGCAGTCACCTAGGGGAAATAGCAGTGTGCAAGCACATCTCCAGTTCACCCCTTACCCTGCAGGCCTGGCTCTGAGGGGTGGTCCTCCCCAGAGGTAAGCTCCTGTGTCTAATTGACTTGCAGTCATAAAATGCGCTCCCCACATGGCCTGCATTTGTCCTTTCCTAATTTGGGGTCATTTCTCCTTGTTGTTCCTACACTGATGACTAAAATTAATCTCTGGCATTTCCCAGCAGCTAAATCATCATAATCAAACTCTGCAGCTGCCAGATTTGCTGACTCAAACCCCCTATGTATTCATATGATATTTGCCGGGTAATTACAGAATAGAGGTAATTATATTCATGACTCCATTACTTTCATAATTCCAGAGACCCAGAAATCACTTAAAATAAAAAAAAACCTCACAAAGCCCAGAGAAGAAATTCCTTCAATAGCTACCCTAAACTACCTCTTATCCTGTTTGCCTTTTCACATCATTCTTGCCTCAAAACTTTCCCATTCAACAGTGGCAGCTCCTGAGCTCCTCAGTGAAGGGGCAAAAGGAGAGAGATGAAACACAGACTAAGATGGGGCCACTCATCTTGGTTAGGACCAAAAAGGCATTGGGTGATTTAAATCAATATGCAGTGGCTACAGTAACACCAGTTACTACTGTAACAATTAAGCCTTAAGTGGACTTAAGGCGCTTACCTCAATGGACTGTCAGGCGCTTACTACAATGAAGATTTGTTTCCTATTCATGCCACAGTACAGTTCAGGTACTTCTTATGACGCACCTGTCATATGCCCATTCAGGAACCCAGGCTCCTTCTGTATTGTGACTGTGCCCACTCTAAGTCCTCAACAGTTTCTCCAATCAGCTAACAAATAGGAAAAGACTTTGGTAACTACCTAGACCCAGACATGACACTCATCAATTCCTCTCATCAATTCCTATTAGCAACAGCTTGGCCCAGGGCCCCGCCTACATGCAAGGTAGCCCTTGCCAGAAAGCAACTTCCTGGCAGCAGCTCTATGCAATGATACAGAACACAAACACACACCTTTGGTGGCTACCTGGCCACTTCTGCCAACAGTGTGATACTAACAGGGCATAGGGAAGCATCCCAGGGCATTTGGGAAATGATAGATCATCATAAGCTGTGTGGCCTGCAGTACAAATTAAAGTGGTAAAACAAATGCAGTTGTCCCTTGGGACAATCCAGTATTGGCTCCAGGACCCCCTGAGAATACCATAATTAGTAGAAGATTGAGTCCTGTAATTGGCCCTGTGGAACCCAAGAAATAACAAAAGAAATTCACCATCTCTATTAAATTACCTTCTATTAATTTAACATCCAAAAAGGATCCCATCACAGTGGCATCCTAGTGTGATCCCTGAGTCATGCCTGGGCAGACTATTTAGTCTCCCTTCCCATCTCTTACTCCCACCCAGCCTTTTTTGTGTGCTGCCCTCAAAATTCTCCCCTTATAACTCCTCCCTAGAGATCTGTTGACTCCTCACTGCCCATAATTTGTGCCATTGCTGTCCCTCTCTGCAGCTCAGCCTGCTGGGGCACTCACAGAGAGAAGGTCATGTATGTCCAGCAATGGTGAGAGATGCCAGCAAAGACTCTGGTCACCAATCAAAGGGGCAGGCAGGGTGACTGCTAAGCCTGATTAAGCAGAGAAGGAGGCCAGTTGTGAAGGCAGAACTCAGGAGTCAGGATGCAGCCAAGTCCCACACCTTGAGGGCTGCCCCTGGGGATGCTTGTCCCAAGATTGGTGGCAGCAGAGGAGACCCAGTAGCAGAGACACTGGAGAGTTTAGCAGGATGACTGGGTCCCTGGGCTTTGGATCCTGCCAAGTCTGAGGAGTGGCACAGAAGCTGCTTGTAGACTTGGAAGGGTTAAGCTGGGACTGAGCCTGAGGCTGAGTGGCATCAGCAGGTGTGCCATGAGGAGTTTAGAGCTGCGGGGAGGGGAGATGCAGAGACGAACTGGGGACTGACAATGAAGCCAAACAAAAGAGAAACTCACATAGTGGTCCTCGTGAAGCATCTCACCCACATCAGAAGAGCCCTGAAGACCGGAGTCCACTGACCATCACCCAACAGATGGGTGGCCCTCACCCATGCAAACATGTGGAGTACACAGGCATTCTTTTCCATTTTTAAAACTCCAACCTAATGGCTCTCCTGTATTTTCCATTCTGAATTTTCCACTTCAGCAGTTTTCTTTTTGTTTGTTCCAGAAAAAGGATAGCATTAAGTTTTACTGTGTGTTTCACACTTGAAAACCTCTACAACAAGATACAGCTTTTCCCCAGAACTGCTTTTGTGGTGGATCATGGCAACCCATGAGCGGGGAAACAAGGGGCAGACTCCCGGCACAGCAATCAAAAGCCCAGGGTGAGCACTTCTCCAAGGCTGAGCTCCCTCCATGGGAATGTGAGGAAGGCAGGTCACAACCTCTTAGGCAAGAATAAGAATTCCCCAGTAGATATGCCATCCTCCAAAGCATGATTCTACCTCGTCCACTTTCTCATCTGGGAAGACCTTGGGATTTCCAAATACTGGTAGAAAAATATTTTTTGTAGTATCACAATTTTTTTCAAAATGCAGTGTTTAGAAACATATATTAATAAACAACAATAAGAGGAAAAGGTCTAGTTTCATTTTTCATTCCCCTTCAAGTAGAAAATAGACCTCTGCCATCCCCTACCCCCTTTTTGGAGCCTCATCATTTGCGTCCTCTTTCTGCAGTTCCATTATATCCCATCTATCCAGAACTCAAGCATCCTCAACCATCCAGAGCAGAGTGGAGAACAAAAAAGGTGCTGCAAGGCAGCTGAGCACCCAGGCTAAAGGTCCCCCTGTCCACCCAGAGACATTGGCAGCCACAAGGAAGCTTCATAGCCTTCTTGTTCCTACATTTTTTTTTTTTTTAGGGAGATACATTTTATTCACGAAAAGCTGCATAACTTCAGCATACGGCTTAGTCATTGGTCAGTTTTCATCAATATTAAAAAATTATCTGGTATATTTGTTAGAAATAGGTGGGCTTAACATGCACACATGCATGCACACACACATACAATCCTGGCTTAAACCCAGAAGAGTTTATTCTCTAACATAAAATAAGTTCAAAAGTAGAAAGTCCAGATCTGATGTCATCAGAGACCCTCTAAGCTTTTGCATTTTCATTTTAATATGTGACTTTGCTCTTCAAAGTCCAAGGACCCTCCCCAGCAAGAGAGAGAAAAGGGAAAAAAACCAGCGGGGCACATTCCCTGGGTAAGTCAGTCACCTTTAAAGAATTTTCCCTGAAGTTCCACACAACAATATCCTTCTCGTTGGCCACTCACGTAGCCATATTGAGCTGCAAGGAAGCTGGGAATCATAATCTTTAGTTGGACACATGCTGCTCCTATTCAAAAGCAGTGCTCTATTAACACATAAGAAAAGGAAAACGATGATTGTGTAGTGTGGGGAAACTAGGCTTAATCTAACCTCACTGAGGAATGTTGAAGAATGTGACTCATGATATGTGATATGTGCTAGGTACACTGTCAGGGATAGCCACAGGAGACACTCAAGAAGTACTGACTACGCTAAAAATTCCCACACAGAAGACACACTATCCCTGGAATTCTGGGTATCAATCTATGAATTTCAGAACTAACACCAAATGTTTGGCCACATGGCCCATGTCTGGGCAGTGTTTGAGCACTTTTAGCTCTGAGAAAAGATATTATCTCACAGACCCATTGACAGTGGTGTAACCCTAGAGTCAGAATTGAGATATTTTCTGTCTGAATATATTAACCAGTCTAGAGACCAGCTCCATCTGTTCAATATCACTTATGGCACAAGTTGTGAGTTGCCTACCATTAGGAAAGAAAGTGAGAGAGAGAAAGAAAGGAGGGCGGGGTTAAGGAAGAAAGGAAGGAAGGAAGGGAGGGAGGGACAGAGAGAGGGAGGGAGGGAGGGAGATACTGAGACCCAACAGCATATGCCAATTCATAAATATAGAACTGGATAATTTTATTTTTAAACCTACATTTTAAACACTAGTGAGTTTGGTTCTCAACCCATGGCATACCTAGGACAGTGCATTGGAACAGGGAGAGGGACCACCGGCAGGTGACAAAGGCTCTGAAAGCACAGTAGGTGAGGCTGCCCATGCCTGAACAAACAATCCAAGGTTTTGCAAGAGACTAGGAGGATTTTGGAGGAAGGGGTCTGACTCAAATGAACCAAAGGGGGCAATCCAGTCTGGCAAAACTCCACAATGAGCTGGCGTTTCTGCTTAGAGGAAAGGCAGAGGAGAGCAAGAATGGAAGGCAAGGTTTGGAAGGCAGGCCAAGCTGGTAGTGGATGATTTGAACAGAGAGGCCATCTGTTGTGTGCGGAATTTGGGTGTGGAAGGTGTTGTGTGCGGAATTTGGATGTGGAAGCCCGTGCACTATGAATACAGTAGCAATGGAGGATGCAGGTGATGTGGGGAGCTTCTGGGAGAGGGGAGGCATGAGCATCCCACAGCAACCAGGAGCACCATGGCTTCTGAGTGAGGATATCATCAAGGGATGAGACCCCGCCTGCCTGAGAATTCCAAGGCTACCAGGCAACTCAGAATGGCAGGGCTGGGAGGAATCTGAGACATCAAAATCCACTTCTAATTTTTCACACACTGCTCTGAGACCTGGCTAAGAGTAGTGGCTGTAGTAGCGGCAGGTCCACACTTTGACAACAGGTGAGCGGGACAGCCACGGCTGCTCCCAGACCCTCGCCTCCCAGCCCAGAAATCTCCCCTGCATTGGGCTGCCTCTCATTCCCTCCCCACCCTCATCCTGTGAAGTGTCCAGCCACTGTCCTGGCCCTGTGTGGGGGTCAGCAGGATTTCTTATGACCCTGTGCCCACCCAGGGAGCTGGCCTCAACCATTTAGCTTTGACTGAAGTGGGTAGCGGGACGCCTGCTGGGCTGGGGAGTTGGGAAGCTTCGTTAATCATGCTTTCAGAGCACTTTGCGATGCAGAGATGAAAGAAGTCTGAGGAGAGCAAAGTACAGCCATTACAATCTCCATCTTCCTAATTGAGGAAAATGAGGTTATTTCCAAATCCTCTGTGATGCGATGGGAAATGTGCTTGATAGGCCCTCACTTACAGCTCTCCCCTACCACGGCTGCTCAGAGCTGAGGTAGCCAGGGTGCTATGTGTGCAGAGCACCCAGGTTACAGCCCCGCCACCCAGACATGCCCCAGCTGCCCTGCGTCACTCCTGATGCATCAGCCCCAAGAAGGGCAACCTCGACAAAACATCAAAGTTGGGCACCTTTGAGCGGCATGGAAGTTCTCCTCCTCTGCACTGAGTAATTGGAACAAAACGACCCAGGCAGTCTTGCTGTAACATCAAAGCTGCATATAATAACCTCACAGATGAATTTAAGAGTGAATACATTCACAGCCACTGCTCAAGTTTGAAGTATGCTGCAATGTTTTTCAGCTTCAGAACCAAGCAAGAAGAAGAAGAAGAAAAAACTCACCTGCTATTGCTTCCTCTATTGACCCTTCTGGGCTGCAGTGGAAGGTGTGCGTTTATCGTCTTCACATAAGAAGTCAGTCTAAGAACAATGACGAGGATAGGAACAACCAAGAATAGGACTGGGGGGGCAGGAGAGAAATCCCAAAGGTAACATATACGTTCATAGAAAGCCCAGGCCACCCACAGGCTCTGTGAGGCACAGGGTGACGCTGACCAAAACACCTGCCAGGGTTCCACCATCAAGGTCAGTAGGGGGGTGCTGGTCACTGACCTTGAATGAATGGCTCCCTTTATTTAGGTTAGAAGACTAAAGGTGAGTATATATTTATGAACATTAGTGCTACCAAAGAAAGGAATTCAGAAATGGTTCACGAGATAGTAGGTTGGTGTGAAAGTATTGTGGTTTTTGCCAAAGTAGTAGAAATTACCTTCGCACCAACCTAATATAGATGGCCCTTCACTGTGGGGCAGCTGAAGTCCTGGGACCTTCTAGGAGCAAGTCACAGGCTCCCGTTTCTAGGAGGGAACTCAGAGTTCACAGCTAAGGGGACCCAGGACAGGACTGTGACATGCACTGTGGCCAGGAAGTGTCTGTAAAATAGCATCCTTTGGAACAACTGAAGGCAAAGATTCAGGACATGTCATTTCTCAGTGCTGACCCGCACAGTAACTGCTCTCCTCCCTACCTGAGCACATCTAGTCAGGTCCACTTCTCTTGTCTTCATAGCCTAATGAAACTCCCTGGGTCTTCTATTTCTAGTTGATCTTAACTCCCTGGCCCCTAGATCTAGACATGCCCTGTGGTCAGTAGATACATTGCTACCCTTTTGTATAGCCACCACGCTGTGGGACTGCATGCCAGGTTAATGCACTATTTAATCAACCCACTTCACAGCTGAGAAAACAAGAGAATAAGGATATAACTTCTCCCTTCAGTGAGAGAACATGTAGGCAGCACATTATTGCTATAACAACTGATATGTGCGTCCCCTTCAAAAATCAAGGGGCCTGTAAATATCACCCTCATACTAACTCTGTGAAGCAGCATTCACCCTGAAACCCTGAAACCATGTTGCAGGGCTACACCCCAGCCTGTTCCTAAAACCCATGCCCTTCCTCATTCACCTATGACCCAGTGGCATCATTGTCCTTCATTATGGGTCAAATTGTGTCCCCCAAAAAGACGTTGGAGTTCTAACCCCCAGTACCTGTGAATGTGACCTAATTTGGAATGATCAAGTTCAGATGTCATTGGGGTGAACCTCTAATCCATTATGACTAGCGTCTTTACAAAAGGGAAGAATTCAAACACAGAGGCTGACATGCTCCAGGGAGAACGCCACATGCAGATGAAGTTGGAGACGCAGGGTGGTTGCATCTACAAGCCAAGGAACACCAAAGACCACCGGCAAAACACCAGAAGCCGGGGGTGCCGGGGAGGCCTGGAATAGATACCTCCTTGGAGCCCTCAGCAGGAGCCAACCCTGGCACAGACAGCTTGATCTCAGACTCCTGGCCTCCAGAACTAAGACCAAACATTTCTTCTGTTTTTTGTAGTTCCACCACTCAGGTTCTGGTATTTTGTTAGGGCAGCCCTAGAAAAGTGAGATACCTCCTTATACTCACTCCAATCTTTTTGTCCTCATTGCTCATACTAAGGCAGCAGGTCTTTCCTTAGACCTCCAACCCACCTCTCCAGCTGGCCTCCCTTGCACTGAAAAAGGTAAGGGTGGGCCGGTTTCTGGGGAGGCTTGCATATGCCCTTTTATTCCAGGTCCTGCCCACCCTACACACACACACACACACACACACACACACACACACACACACACACACATATACACATCACTCCCCTAGAATGGAGAGGCAGGGACCAATGGGACCAGAGGGCCTGGGCCAACCTTGGCACATTGGGTAGAAGTTGGAAAGTCAGGGGAAGACTTCACTGTTTTTGTTTTGAGACAGGATCTCGCTCTGTCACCTAGACTGGAGTGCAGTGACACGATCACAGCTCATTGCAGCCTCGACCTCTGGGATTTAAGCAATCTTCCCACCTCAGCCTCCCAAGTTGCTGAGACTACAGGCACACAGCACCACTCCCAGCTAATTTTTGTATTTTTTGTAGAGACAGGGTTTCATCATGTTGCCCAGGCTGGTCTCGAAATCCTGGACTCAAGTGATTCTCTCACCTCAGCCTCCCAAAGTGCTGAGACTAAGGTGTGAGCCGCCGCGCCCAGCCCCCCTTGTTTCTTGAGGCTTCCCCCTGCCAATATCAGCACCTCCCTTTGTCTCTGGGGTCAGCAGCCAGGCTCCTGAGCCAGCACACTTTTCCATCCCATACACCACATGTCACCCTGGGTAAACCTTTCTCGTCCCATACCTACCTTATCAAGAGGACAAATTGCTCTAGGCTGCTGAGGCTGATCATCTCTCCCTGCCACCTCCCAGCAAGGAGCTTTGGTTTGAGTGTTTGCTATTAGGTGACTCTGGAAGGCACAGACCTCCTTGTCCCTGTGTTCCTCAAACAGCCCAACAGAGCATTTCCTGATGCACTGTCTTCCCCTGGGAACTTTCACTACTTCACATCCCACTGCCGTCACAGAAATTCACTGCTACTTTTCACGGCAACTTTGCCTGGTCCTCATGCCCAAATTTGGAGGCTGTGTGGGAGTGCCTGCCTCTCTCGCTATTGCCCTCTGCTCCAGTTTGGGCATCTTCACTAAGCAAAATAGATGTCCTGTGACATCCTTATAAAGCTCCAAATGAGGCCAACGCTGCCAGTTCACTAGATAAAGAAGGAGTCAGGACAGGAATAGGACAGTCTGCACAGGCACAAGCTTGTAACCCACCAGTCCTTTTCTGCTAACTGGGCCCCTGCGCCTTGAGCTCTTCTCCTCCCCATCCGAGGAGTCCTCTGACATCGTCTGCAGGTCCTCAGGGCCTCAGAGATGGGGAGTTGACTGGCAAGTTCAAACAATGAGAAAAAAAGCATTCCCTTGGATGCAAACAATCAGGCTGAAGAGCTTCTACAAAAGCCCTTGCCATAACATGATTTTTGACCTAGACATTCAGTTTTAAAGTTTTTCTTTTCCCTTAAATTTGGTGCTTTATTGTGACTAGCAAAGCCTTGTTGATTTAACTTTGTGCATTATTTTTCTTACAAAGGGATGATTTTTTAAAAGCTTGTCAGTTAAGTATGATTACATCCTATATAAACCAGAGTTACTTTTCTTCCTACAAATAGATATCTTATTTTAAAATGTGCTTCATAGAAATTCCTGTATAGCCCACTTCTCTCCCATGAAGTGAGGCCTGGAGTTTGATTTACTTTGTGTTCCGTCAGTACCTGGCTCCTGCACATGGGACACCACCACTCACATACACACTGGAATTAAATGAATTAAATGCAGGGGTGGATGATGAAAAAGCTTCTCCAGCAAATGAAGTATTTGGAGATTTATCAACATCTCTAGGGCATTCTGAAACTCTCCAGATTACCTCTGAAATGCACAGGATTTACGAGGGATTAAGAGAAACTTGAAAATCTTGAAAAATGCAAGAAAACAGTGAATGACTTGAAAACAGGACTCCTAAAAAAAAAAAAAGAAAAGAAAATAGGACTCCTTAAGGTGAGTTAGGAATGTGGTCACGTAACAGGAGTCAGTAGAAGAGACAAGAATACTTTAAGGGGCCTTTGAGTCCAGAATAACATCATCTACATCTTATCTTTTCCCACTTTCATCATTAAAACAAAGCAACTACGTCTTCCCCATCAGCCTCTTGCCCCTTGATTTCTACTCAATGGCTCCCATCCCATCTATGTCAACTTAGTGTTCATCACCTCAGTGATGTATGTCTTTGGTAGCTTTTCAGTGGTTCACTGTCTTAATTGTCATGGCACTGTAGAGATGGAAGCATAGGGAGTTCAGTGGAGCAAGATCAGATAACCAAGTAATAACAAACCAGCCATCTACCAGTCACCCCCATTTCTGCCTAATGCCCCCAAAGCACCCAGCATTGTGGCATTGCCTACATCATCCCCAGTGCAGTCAGGCTTTATGTACCACTACCTTATCCCACACCCCATAATATACACCACATCTGTCCCCCTTGTGCTCACTTATACCAAGAAGACCTTTTCCCTTTCCCCAGCCACATAACAACCTCATCCTGTCAGGTCTAGCTCAAGCTTCTAACTATCTGTGGGTCCAACTTCCTTCCAGCCCTCAGGGAGCAATCCTTCCTCTAAGTGCCTGCACCAGGTATGCAACAAATTGTTCCCAAAGCACTTGGACTTGGGTGAAAATTGATATTTTCGTGTGGATGTACTTTATCCTGACAACTCAAGTGTAGCTTCCTGGAAGTCAATGTGCTGAGCACATAATATTCAGTAAGTATTTACTGATGTGAAGGATTGTGGTCAATCAGTCCCTATCAAGAATACAGTAGGGGGAATTGAAATAGGCTGCATGTGGATGAAACATAAGAAAACAATTCTGTGCATTAGTAGTTGTACTACTTCTGCTTGATCATACTTTTCGAGCATTTTGGCAGATATTCCAACACAAGTATCCAGAGAAGCAGTGCAGAAATTATGCTGGCCTCCATACTAAGCTCTTTACCAGGTGCTAGGAGTAGAAAAGTAGTCCAGATCTCACTCTCACTAACGCATTGTGGCTGACCTTCATCTAGTACCTGTAAAGCAGTAAGGCAGGCCCATCTCACCCACTCTTTCTCAATCACGCGTCTCCCAGAGTTGTCCTAGGTCTTAGGCCTTCCCTGTCTGGAGCTACAGGACTTCCACCCATCTGTATCACAGGCTGTCAGCCCTTGCTGTTTGGTTCCCCACTCCTGGAAGCAGTTGTAACTAGTCCAGGTTGGGCCCAGACACTAGTGTTTTTTAAAAGCCCCCACTTGTTTCTAAAGTGCATCCCGACAGAATTCCTGCACCATACGCCGGCCCCACCACCACCACCACAGTCAGGGCAGGGGAGGGCAAGAGCAGCCACATGCCCCTCCCTCTCTGGCCCTTCCCTTTGTTCTACAAAGGCTGGAATTATGGACAGAATCTATGAAATGTTTGTGTGCAACTCTGAGGAATAATAGAGAGGTGGTAAAATGTAAATGAGACACAACACGATTGTACAAAAATACGAAAGAACTAATAAGCTCTTTACAGGAGTTATTCTCACCACCACACCCCAGTTCCTAGCATTGCTTCCCAGAGCTGAGGTCAGCTAACCCCTTCTTCTGAAAGAGAGTCCCTCTTCTGTCCTTCCATTTTTAACATGCCACACACTTTATCCCTGGAGACTGGGCTCAGCCTTTCATCCAACCCTTCTGCTCAACGACAATCCTTGAGACTCCACTCTTCCCATGATTTAACTTATTCTGTCTGGAATAACCTCACTGGTGCCTTGAATCAGCCCAGGACTCCCCATGATCATTTCCCTTTATAAAGTCCTGGGACTCTCCTTTCCTATGAGACACTTGGGCCAAATCTACAAATACTCTTCCCTGACCACCATGAGGATCCTCCATACATCATCACACAAAACAGCTAGAGGGCTTCTCTCCTGCTTCCAGACCACTCCCAGGGGTCTACCAATGCATCCGAAATGACTTGCCAAACAAGTCACCTGCCCTCGAGGGTCACCCTTTTGCACCCAGAAATCCTGAGAACTGTGGTTTATCAGTCCTGGCAGCACATTAGAATCACTTGAGGAGCTTTAAAAAAAATCCACGTCTGACCCATGAGCTAGTAAAGTAGATGAGAAGCCCTGGAGGTGGAGCTCAGGCATGGTTGAGAATCACACTTGCAGATACTTTGAAAGTAAGTTTTCTTACCTTGCAACAGAAATTCATATACAGGACACCTTCCCTTCCATTCTCCATAAACAGAATGGGGGACGGCCGGGCACAGTGGCTCACACCTATAATCCCAGCATTTTGGGAGGCTGAGGCAGGCAGATCACCTGAGGTTGGGAGTTCGAGACCAGCCTGACCAACATGGAGAAACCCCCGTCTCTACTAGAAATACAAAATTAGCCAGGTGTGGCGGCGCATGCCTGTAATCCCAGCTACTCGGGAGGCTGAGGCAAGAGAATCGCTTAAACCAGGGAGGCAGAGGTTGTGGTGAGCCGAGATCACGCCATTGCACTCCAGTCTGGACAACAAGCGCGAAACTCCATCTCAAAAAAAAAACCAGAATGGGGGACAACATGAGCTTTACTTTTTGCCCCTCATGTATTGAGCAAATAACTGGAGGCAGAATAAGTAGATGTGGTATATTTACATTCCCAGTTATACAAACAGGGTTAAGATGCAATCCTGTTATGGGCTGAATTGCCTCTCCCCAAAATTCCTATGTTGAAGTTCTAATCTCAAGTACATCATAATGGGACTGGTTTGGAGATAGGGCCTTTAAAGAGGTGATTAAGGTTAAATGATGTCATTGCACTGAGCCCTAACACTTATAAGAATCAGATATCCTTATAAGAAGAGGAGATGAGGACAGACACACAAAAAGTGAGGACCGTGTGAAGACACGGCAATAAGACAGCCATCTACCAGCCAAGGAGAGAGATCTCAGGAGAAACCAGTCCTGACACACTTGATCTTGGACTTTGGCCCCCAGAACTGTGAGAAAATAAATTTCCATTGTTTAAGCCACCCAGTCTGTTGTACTTCATTTTGGAAGCCCTAGCCAACTACTACAAGCTCCTTCCTATCTTCAAGGAGCTGGCAGCAAGAGTGTAAAGCCCCAAGAAGACTCACAATGAATGAAAGACAAGACTCAAATCTAGCTCCTGACTCCAGGAGGTTGTGGAGTGTCTTTTCCAGAGCTAAGAGCACATAAGTATCTCTTTCTGTCAGGAACACTTTAGTTGGAGTCGCACTAGAGGCATAAAAGAACAAGTCATGTTTCTGAGTCCACAGGTCACCTACATCCCCAGGGGCCTAAGAACGCTAACTCGGTCCCCAAAAGGTCTTCCCATTCCCGCCTAAGCCCTGGCTGTTCCTGGACCTTGATGTGATGGAGGGCTGCATTCTCCGCCCATGGGAGCCGCCCCTCTCACTCTGCAGAGTCTGTTTCCCATTCAGACTGTATTCAGAAGCTCCCCGTGTGGGGTGTGACATGCTTGAATGCTCTCAATGGAGCAGCTTTATCCCAGAGCCTGAAACCGTGACAAAGAGGACATCTTCACCTGTGAATTAGCTTGATTTTTCCAGCTGCTGCTGCTAACTTCTCCATCAGAAGGCTGGCCTCTGTACAAACCACATCTCTGAAAGCTGGAGCAACATTCTCCAGCTAATAGCAGGCTTTTTTTAATTTTAATTTTTATTTTTTTTAACCGTGAAATGTCCTCTTTTAGCGGGTAACTTGAAAAATGCCCTTCCAAAGAATTGAGTTGTCAGTATAAACGTCTAAATGGACCTTTATTAGAACCGTTAAAAAAGGCTACTTAACATGTAATTGGCCCATTCTTCATGCTTAAATACACTGTTAAAATCGTGCCAATAGCTAACTTTGAAACCCATGGTAAAAGGCAAACGTTTTATCTACAGGCTCCATTTTATAGCCTGGTAAGATGAGATCACATCAATCTTTGAGTCTTTCAAAAGATGATAGATAGAAATTGCCAGATACCTTTACACCGTTCACTTTTTCCTCTTGGATTTACTGAAATTAGCTAGTGGACAAGTCACTCTAACAAGATCATCCCATAAATGCTCGCACCAAGCAGACTGGAGATATGAACTCAAGTCCCCCTTACCCCAATGTGGCTCTGCTTCCTTTTCCTTCCTTAATCCTAATGCTCATCATACTGTTTATAATCAACCAGTTTATAGATCTCTAGTTAATATTTGCTCAGGGCTTATGCTGATTTCTCAATACATGCAATTTTCTGGTTTCATCTTTATCTTCAAGGATTAGATTGGATCGAGCTGCCTTGTAGTAATTTAGTTTTTATCTTATGCCTTACAGTTTTATGTTCTTGTAATAGCACTTGCTTTTCCTTTTTTATTTAATTAAATATATCTTATTTCACAACTACAGCATTTTTTTCGAGTTTATTTATTTAACAGCTGGCAGGGTGCTGGTGTTTTGTAGAGGGAACCACGCTGGGTATTTTTAGACATTCAGAAGTTAGGGAATGCTCCAGCTGAGAAGCGGGAAGAAAAATCTGAACTTGAGAGATGAATGCTCAGAGATTAAACTTGGATTGCTTTGGTTGCATGATGGAGCTCCATAGATTAAGTCCTTAAAACAAAAACAGAAACAAAAACAAACAACAACCAAAACAGTATATTTAAAAGTATGTTCAAGAAAGAAGCTGCAAGACTTGATCCTTGGTCTTCTGAAGAACAGCTGGCTCTTCCCATTGGCTCAGCCAGTACAGAAATACCAGGTGTTGCTAACACCTTAGGAACATGCGTGCACATTCTCCACAGAAGGCTCTAGACCTGAAAGACTTTCCAGCCATCTCTGTGCTCAGCTCCATTCAGCAACCCTGTGCATTACAAGGTTTGGATCAATACAAGTTGTGTGCGGGAGTATGGTAGCCTCTGGCTAAACGATGATCTCATCGTTGGTTCTAATAAGGACTGAAATGCCAATGATGGGATTCAATACCAATGCTGGGCTCTGCAGCCCTCCTTTCACCATGCTGACCTCACTAGGCTCCTTCCAGGCTTGAAACAACAGCAACAGCATCACAAAACCTTATAGCCAGGGCGAGTCAAGTGAGGCACCTAGGTGGTAAAATTTAATGAGGAGTTCATACTCAGAGTCAGGCAAAGTTTGCACGACCCTGACAGTGGGTGTCTCTCTCAATTTTATACATTAGACACCCTGCTTAACTCACCCCAGTGCTAGCCCTATGGTACCTTCCTGGAAATATTCCCTCTTCAGGCCACTACCGCACCAAAAAGGCCCAGCTAGAATGCAGCCACTCACCCTAGGTTTCTTGCACCTGCACTTGGGATCATTTGGAACCATCAGCCAGACAACTTTCCTCCATCCTGACCAGGATACCTCTATCCCATGCCCTTCCCTATGAGAAGCACTATCATGCTTCTCATGTTACCAGTGGGAAAAACCTTGCAAGAGTCTCCAATATTTCCCACTCATCCAGCTGGACCATCAAATGTTACTGATCCTTCTTCTGTGGTATCTCCCCTTCTTTCTAGAGTCACAGCTTTAAATCAAGCTGGCATCATCTCACAACTGGATTATTGTACCAATTTCCTAAAGGGCTCCATGTCTCCAGGCCTACCCACCCCCAGGGCATCCTCTACAGAAGAGCAAAGTGTAGTCCTTGAACCAGCAGCATCAACATTACTTGGACGCATCATAGCAATGTAAATTCTCAGGCCCCATCCCAGAACTACTAAATCAGAAATTCTAGAGGTAGAGTTCAGTACCCATGTTTCAGCCTGCCTTCCAGATAATCCTGATGCTCAATAAAGTTTAAGAACCACTGCTCTATGGTATACAATTTAAGCCAAAGTCCATGCTACCTTCTAGCTTAAAAATTCTTCATTGTCCCCCTTACGGTGATTCTCAAACTTGCTAGCCTAGCTCTCCACGTACTTTGCAATATATCCTCATTCTACATCTCTGGTCACATTGCTTACTGCGCCCTGACCCATATCTCAAGCCCAGCCATGCTGCTCTCCAGACTGAACCCCAGAGTGGGGCAGCTTCCTCCTTAGCTACCTCCAGGAATAACATCCATGTGTCCAAGAACTGTATTATTATCCTGTTGAAAGCACACCCACGGCAGAGTTGACCATCCTGAGGATGGATTCACCATGCAGAGGCAGTAGACAAGGCTGGCAGTGGAAGGAGAATTGCCACGTGCTGAGTGCCTGCTACTGGCTGACCCCATAGTGGATCAACTTCCCTACAATGTCTCACTGAATATCTACAAAAAATTTTTAAAAACCTGTGAAGGACTGATGGAAATAAGGAGGTAAGTATACCCAAGCCCAAAAGCAAATGTGAGCAGGAAGACCTTCCTGGAATCAAAAGTAGAATAAGAACAGGTGTAAAAAGACAAAAAAAGCCACTGCCTTTCTTCAGGGCCCCTCTAGGGTCCTGGAGCCCAACAACCAGCCCAGGGTCCATCCTCTGAAAGCCTCAATGCATTTTCTCCCTTTGCTGAAGCAAGGGAGAAAGACAACAAAGAGCTTCTCTCTTTGTTGAAGCAAGAAATCCAAAGGGCACTTGTTGCAAGCCCTCGATCCAAAGACCCAGCAGTTCTGTTTTTGCTGAGTCAGGATAACACAGAACCAGTCACAGAAAGAACATGGGGACATCAGGGCCTGTAAGTGAGCACAGAGTTCAATGCTGGGAGTCCAGGTCTCCCAGCCACAGATCTGTCATTCACCAGGTTGGAGACAACATCCAGCCCCAACGCATGCCCAGATCCCAGGGTCTGGACTTCTTTTGCTGAGTTTACGCATAATGAGGTCACCAAATCAACCTCTCTCTAAAGGCCCATCTGATATATGTGAGCACAGCATACTGGAGAGGCAAATCCCTTCTGTCCCCAGGCATGATAAAGTGGTCACCTGAAGTTTCAGTATCTACAGAGAAATTGCTATTAAACCAATTTCCAAGTCCCAGACGGGGTCCCTGCTAGGGACCACCATCCTTCCCTGCTGGGGTTCAGCATCAACTCCTGCTCTTGGGGCGGTGAGGGGAGAGGGCCGCTTTTGAACTTTTTTTCTGATAGTCTGAGGTTTTCAAGGGTGTTCTGCCTTTCAGATTTATTTCAGCAAGTTGCTGTTAATTGTGTTTTCAATTAGTTATGTTTAAAACATCTTGAGATTTGGGCAACTGAAACTGCAGTGCATCAATAATTATTAAACAGAGGTTCTAATCCATTATTTATTGAATAAATTTTTAATACTAATGCAGAATCCATTGTCACTGACACCATGAGTTTGGCCATTAAGAAAAAAAGCTGACGAAAGGAAACTGAAGCTCCAGGATTCTTAAATGAAGGCCCGTGGAGCAGAGCTTCCTGGAGAACAGATTGGCAGCTGTTTCTCTTTCATGTCTGTTTAATCAAGGCTTTGTTGCCTAGGGGAAGGGAGGGGAGTTCCCACATAGTAGGTACTCAGTAAATGTTTGTACAGGGAGCGAATGAATGCATGAATAAATAAATGAATTTAAGAATAATTAAACCAGGAGAGATTTTTTTTTAAAGATCTAAGCTCCTTTCTATTTTAACCATTAACAAATACTTACAGAGCATTCAGCTTGGTACTGAAGTGTCCGTGATGGATAAGACAGTAATCCCTTCCCTCTCAGTCTGACAGATCATCATAATACACGTTTAAATATAATTATGATAAAATGTGGTAATCCAAGGTGGCACGGAAGCCCACGTGAGGGGGTGACCCTGGCTGGAGCAGTCAGAAAAGACTTTGCTGAGGAAATAATACCAGGTCTCAGAGGCCAAATTTTCCAGATGTAGAAATGAGGAAAGGGTAAGACAGCATATTTGGGGGCACAGGAAAAGACAGCATGACACATAGGCGGCACTTTCAAGATCATCCAGAATTTGCTCGGGGCATGAGGAAGCGAGGCTGGAAAGGCAGATGGGAGCAAGAAGGTGAGGACTTCGTGAGCCATGGTTAGAAGCTTGGTTCTCATTCTATGGACAAATCCACCAGCAGGGGTTAAAGCAAGGGACTGATGAGTGAGATTTTCCTTTCAGGCCAGCACGTCAACTTATATTCTACCTCAGCAACATGCTGGCTAAGCTTCGCCAAAGTGGCAGCAAAGCAGGGGAAGAAAGGGCAGGATTAAGTAATTTCATAGCTAAAAGCGTGAGACAGACCCAAACTCTAGGCAGAGGGTAAGCAAAGTGAAAGAAAGAGCCAGAGATGCCCTAGTGTTTTGGCTATGCTGGTTTTGAGGAAGGAGGGTTAGGCTGATTACATGTGGTGAGGTGGGTGGCAGGGGCGACAGAGATGAAGAAAAGTTTTAGAACAATAAATTTGAAGTGCCTATGGGCTACACAGGTAAATGTCTGGCAAATAATTAGATATACCAGTCCAGAGATCCACAAAAAATACAGATTGAGTTATAGATGGGGAGTAATTCATACAAGGTAGTCACTTCAAGCATTTGTTCAGAATATACTATGCCCAACACTTGGCTAAATAAACCTTACGCTATGGAGAGCCGTTAAAAATGATTTCCAATAGAATTTTAAAAAATAAAATCTAATTAAACACGGGGAGCATCCACTATCTCTATTTAGGGCAAGGAAATGAACACAATGAGAAAGTAAAGCAGTGGAATGTACAAAAGAGACCTTTGGGATTCTCTCCAGTCTTGAACTCAACCCAAAACTCATGCGTTGATCAATCAATATTACAAAGCACCACCTCTAAACCTGGAGGAATCCAGAGACACAAAAGTGACATCATGCAACCCCTCTTAGCCTCAACAACCCTCAGAAGCTTTGAGCTCCAACCTTAACTCTCTGTCCCGCCCTCTTTCCAAAATCTTCTCTAGCCACTGCAGACTGAAGAGTCTCTACTCCTCTGAGCACCTTTAACCTTGCCAAGCTCTTGCCTACATGTGGCCTGGGGATTTTTAACTTGTCCTGTTCACCCAGATATTCCCACACACTACCCCTATGCAGCTTGGACTTCTGGAAGGCCACAGCCCATCCCCACCCCACTCACAGACTCCAGCAAGGCTCAGCACAGAATTAAGCATGTAGCATTTTGCTCTGCTCATTTCTGGTTCCCTGGGAGCCTCCACTCCACCACTGCTGCCCCACCTCCAGCGTGCTCAGCTTGGCCAATACAAAAATGAGTACACATTAGGTGCTCAGTGAAGACCTAGGTATAATGGCCCATTTGATCTATGTCCTAACACTTCCTCTTTCAAGTTCACAACAGTCCTGGGATTCAGAAAGTCTCAAGCATCCCTCCATCACCAGCAGGACTCTGAGCCCTTGGTTCATGCCGCCTTGCCAGCTGGAGAGAGGAGGGGTCAGTGAAATGGGTTAGATCCAGCCTCCCTCTGCCTACGCTCCCAGAGGCCTTCCTGGAAATACTATGGAATCCCTAAGAACAGATACCCAAAGCCTATAAGTCACAGCCTATAAGTCACAGTCTCCGTGCTGGGGAAGGCGTAAATGAGAGCTATAGCATCCAAGACGGGAGGTGGCCACATCCACCTGTAGTTGAGAGGCCTCTGGGCCAGTGGACTCCGAAGTGAGGTCTGTAGGAGTGAGCAAAGCAGGGACACAAAGAAGGATGTGGAGTGGTAAGAAGTGAACCACACCAGGAGGCCGTCTCTGTCCTTCCAGGCAAAACCCACCACTCCCTTTATCTTCTCACACATTTTCTAGCCATCTGCTTGTTTTTCTATCTGCTTCCTAGATGTAAGTTCCTTGAGGCTAAGAACCTGAATTTTTCACCTTTTCATTTTCCATAATGCCTAGCAAAGGGCATGGCACATGGTAAACGCTCAGCGAATTGTTGTTGAATAAACAAATAGATGAACCCTACTTTTGAAGACACTATAACTGCATGATTTTTAAATTGTGCCTGCTCTTTGGGTCAGTGTCTTTCAGGAGAGATCAATAATCCATTAATAACATTTGGATTTTAGGAAAAAATCTGTTTAAAGGAAAATGTTGTACCTTGTAAATATTCTGTGTTCTCAGGGAAAAGAAAGTCAGTGGGGAAAAACTGCAAACAGCCTACTCCAGAACAATTGAATTGAGGCCAGGAAATTAAAATTAGAATGAATTTAGAATTGGTGTTGTTATAACCAATTATCAGGAAGATTCTTTTTACAATTTTTTATGAGATGGAGGGAGGAAGGAGTGGTAGGCTTCATTGAAATTATACCAGCCAATGAATGGCAGGATTAGAATATTCTTTTTTTAGCTGGTGGATGTAGTAACGTCATCCTACAGAGAGGCAGACCATGCCATGTTTGATGTATAAATCTAATGACTTTTTAAATAATAATGACAACAACATAAACAATAAAATATGTAATGTTCTTAAAGATTACATTATCTAATTTGACTTACACACAATCCTGCAAGTACCACTACTATTGTCCCTTTCTAAAGATGACAAGTTGAAGGTCCAAAAGTTAACCAGTATTAGATCTGGGACTCACACATGTGCCTTTGGACTTTGATCCTGTGATTTTCTTCTCTGTGATAACTTTCTGGATAACTTTCTGATAGAAAATTCCCTGGAGGTCTAGGAAATGGTAAAGGTTCTTCCTGCTAGATAAAAGCTTAGAGGACTGAAGTCCCAGCTCACACAGAAAAGCAGAGTTATGGAGGCACTTGGGTCTCATCTATCCACTTGGAATTTGAATCCCATAATTAGCAGACTGAAACACCCGCCTTTTCCCAGGCATGGACTCATGGTGAAGCTGGCCCTACTTAGGAGCCACAGAGGGGTTCAGTCTGGAACAGGGCTTCCAGATGGAGCCATCAGAGTGTGGTTCATAGCCAGGACTCAAGTATCAGAGAGGGAACCTCGCTTCTGAAAGTATGAAACCTACAAGGGGCAATGCCAATGGCTTATCCCTGGATCGCATCTGCAGCCCTGTGACCCCCTGCTCTCCTAGCCTGTGGCTGTACCAGCTTCCTCACTGTAAAGTGGGGAAGGAAAACTGTCACAGCACAGGCTTGTTGTGAGCCCATGCTGGAAAAAAGCAGCATGAACAAGCACTTGTTAGTGCAAGTCACACTGTCCTGGGAAGGCAAGTCTGAAGACTGTCACACCCCTGCCTGTTTCCTCCTTACAGTTGACCTTGAACCCCAGTGACAGCGTGGGAGGGAAGGCAACGATCAGGGACTTGGGATGCTCTCCAGCCTCACATCCAACTTCCATCCTTGCTCTGTTCAACCTGCAAGTGGTTCCTAAGCAGGAAGCAGATCCACCTGCTTGTGCTGCTTGCATTTATGTTGTTCCACTTCTAATTAGGCCCATCCTGCCCTATTACAGACAATAGAAGTGTGTTTTAAATGAAAGCCCATCTCTTTCCCCCTGACTATACTAAGGCTCTTCATTTCTCTTTGCCTCCTCTGCATTTAGTAACTTAAGTCTGCTTGGAGCTAAATGACCCAGTTAATACAGCCTAGATGGCTGACTGTCCTGTGCTCACTTAGGAGTGGCCCTCACAACACAGAGGCTATTACACATTGCATCGTTTTTTATTCTGTTTGTAGTTTACATCACTAGACTGGGAACCCAAGAGGCTGGTGGGTCTGGATCCCCAAGGGGAGCCAGCATCACCTTAAATATGACCTCACTTGTCAAACGATCCACTTCCCCACAGGCTGGGATGGATGAGCAAGAGGTTTATCTTGTTTATTAAAGGAGCAATACTTTATCTTTTGGAAAAACACACTGAAATATTTATAGGTGAAATTACTTGATTTATGGGATTTCCTTTAAAATAATAGGAAAGGAAGGAAGTGTGCACAGGGCGTCGGTGCGTGGATGGGGCAGGCTTGTCTTAGGTAAATCACCATTGAGACTGGGTGATGAGAACAAAGGTGTTCAGTTAAAGATTCTGTCTACCTGCGCATCTGCTTACAATTTCCCACAAGAAAAGGCCACTTTTTAAACAGCAAGGTTTAAATCTGAAAAGCTGAAGTAAATAGTTCTTTAAAAGCACATTTTTAATTAAATAAAATTTCAAGATGTGCTCGGTGTCGCTCTCTATCTTGGACGGTTCTATATTCATTGTTTAACCTGGTTTTTATTTCCAGTCTTAATCAGAGGACTTTCTTCTAATTTATCCTAAATCTTTATTTCAAAAACATTCCCTCCAGAGCAGCCCCCAAATTGCAAGCCAGATTCACATCCAAAGCTGTTTTGGCAGCTTGTCTGCCCCCTTTGTCTAGCCTCACCACGAGCGGATTGTTTTCCTCAAAGGCCAATTTAGATCATGAGTGACCCCACCATTTTCTCTAGTTCATTTTCACCGGGTTGTCCTGCACCTCCCTGCTCAGGAAAAAGCAGAAAAAGAGAAAAGCAGTGATCACAGTCATGCTTGTGACTTTAGTCTCCTCTGGAAAAGGTTTTAATTGACTGGAAAAACATAAGAATCTTCTTCTCCACTGACCCACACCTGTATATAAACTGCTGTTTGGACCCTGGGGCCATTTCTCTGGTACTTCTGTTTACCAGCCCACAATATACCCAAATTATAGGGCTACATCTAAGAGAAAGGAGCATCCTCACAAGCCAAGTATGGCAAACCTGATTCTATTAAATCACAGACAAGGGCTCGCCACCTCTCTCTGCCTTTTTCTTTCTAAACCTAGCTAACTGCTTAATCCCATTCAATCTCTACCCACAGCTACAGTTTTGATATCTTCCTCTTCTGACTCTAGCACTTTCCAGCCATGAGAGTGTCACCTTTCAGATAGCCCATGCCTTTCCAACAAGAATAATCTTTCTAAAACCAATTTGTATACAAATTAACTGAAACTTTGGCCAAAGAAATGCATGCATGTGTAGGCATACAAACTGCATTGCCTTGGAAGACTGTGCCTAGTTTCCACCCACTCACGCTCAGTATCAGCACTGATAACCTTCAGCCCAGCCACTTGGAGCACCATGCCTGATGCCACCCTGAGCATCATGAGCTGGCACAACTCAGGAGCAACTACCATGAAAACAGGCTTCGTTTCTTTGCCCTCTTTCTTCATGTCTCACTGAAGATGACAATTGACTCTCAGAGGTGTTTAATGGGGGAAATCACCCACCCTGTGCCCAGTGTGCTCCAAACCAGGCAAAGCAACGGTGGAGAAGGAATATTTTTGGAACAGAGAAAGCAAGACACAGAGGGCTGTACCCCTCCAGGAATAGTTTCTCCCCTGATAGATCTCTTCTCCTTCTTCTCCCTTGCAAGGTGCCTATTACCTGGTTAGTTGATCAAAGTATCAAGTGGAGAAGCCAGAAATAATTGACAGAAATATGGGGAACCCCTGGCCTTTATTACATCCTCATCCAGGAAAGAAAAACTTCCTGTCCACAGCAGCACCTGAGTGGATCATGGTCAGTACGTCTGTGTGGGAGTACATTCACACATGCTGATTTTCTGAACAGGAAACAGCTTCCTGATATTTCTTCCAAACATATTCTCTATACTACATTCTATATCCACCTGGCACAATGACAGTTTCAGGCAAACAAGAAGAAACATGGCCAATCATGCCTCCATTTGGTCTCTCCCTCAGCCCCCAAGATTCACTCACTCTAACTTAGTAAGAGCCCCTGTCATAGATTCCACGAAACAAATCTTTAGGACGTAAGCCTTGATGTCAGTAAGCAGGGGACAATTAGACTTCTAGTAAATCTAGGTTTCTGCCCAAAAAGTGAATGCATGCTGTTGGCAATATGCTTTGGCAGCTTCAAAGTCCTTCATCCTCACTGAAGGAGTCCGGCCACTTTTCCCAAGCTAAGCTGCAACAGACAAGGTGAGCATTCCCATACCTTTCACTTTTATACTAAACCAACCTCATTTGCAGGACTCACTCCCCTCCAAACAACTGAAGCCACTTCAGTCTGCTGGTCTTTGGGGACAGGGACATGTAAGCAATCTAGTAAGCAAGGCTTCTTACAGAAAGGGAAAGCAAGATGACTACAAAGAACTGCCAACCAGTGTATCCGGGACATAACTTCAGTGACAAATCCCCTGCTCCTAAGAGGGCCCTACCTGGTGAAGGAAGTTGGACTTTTTTTTCATATATATATTTAAAGATGAGGCAACTGAGATTCAAAAAAGTAAATAATTGTAAAGTTTTAAAAATAGATCTCAGCAGAGGGCTTGCAACATAGTAGGCATTCAATAAATGTTTAATTAATTAGCTAATGAAAATAAGACAATCAGAAAGTTCTATCAGCCCTTGCCCTCTTCTTTGCATCTCCTCTTTTTGAAGGGCGCTAACCTCTAAATGTAGGATATGGTCACAGTGAAATTCTTTTTATCATGACTTTATCTGATTTCAAAAGAGATCCTACTTGTTTTGAAAAACCATCTGAAGTATGTTCAGATTCTATCCCAGAAAAGGCTTCTCTATTCTCAACTCTGCTGGTTACAGCCTAGTCCTAACCAGAGCCTTGCACAGGGCCTTTTTAAAATAAGGATCCTAAGTTTCTGGTAGGGATGTGTCCTTTGATGTTCACTTTCTTCCAGCTAAGCACCCAGCCAGCTACAAAGGCAAATTTGCTACATGTTTCTCCCACCTAATGAAAGTGAGCTTAACAGAGAACAGACTGCCAGTACCTGCCATCACTATTGCATTCAGAGAGAGAATCAGATACAGTACCTCATAGGTGTATGCCTAAATTGGAGATTAAAGACAGGTCCCCAAGCTACCGAAATTATTATTAAGTTTGGCACTGATTCCAGTTTAGCCCCAGCCCCCAGCACCACCAAAGCCCTCACTTTTGGGGAGTGTCTCAAGAGAGATGGGAAACCTGGCTGTTTCTGATGTTCAGAACCTGAATGTCACTATTCATATTGAGTGTCTTGGTAAGATAGCTGAAATGTCACCTCATTGCTACATGGTGGCTTTATTTTTTTCAAGGAATACTCCCATTATGTTATCAGACCCTTGTGACCCGCCGTGAGGAGGGTGGGATGGGGATTAGTGGCATCCTAACCGTGTATGTGGCAATCCTGAATCATTCAGCATCATTCTGCAAGTCACCTGCAGTCAAACATGAGTCACTCACAGAGGCATTTCCAAATCCCAGCGTTGCCTCCACCTCTTCCTGCTGAGACCACTCTGTCACTCACTGCCACTGATTCATTCCTCCAGGCCCCCTGTAAACTGAGAGATAAGTAAAATTTGCCTTTATTTCCCTACTTTTCTCTTTTCATTGTGCTCCCAGAAATGGTGTGGAACCCACAGCAATGAGGGCCAGTTCTGCAGCCTGCCACCTGAGCTGCCTGGGGAGAGTACCCTGTAATGCATTCATAGATTAATTTGGGGCAGAATTATGTTCATAATGAGTGACTCACTCATATATACAGTGTGCTTTTTTTAAAGTCTTTTTATATGTCCTTTGATAGAATTTTTCAGTTGTCTTTTATGCATTCTTCATCTGATTTTTATGTATGTTATGCTTTTGTTGATATTGCAAATGACATTTTATATTCTATTAGATCTTCAAGTACATTACATCTAATGTAGAGGGATATTACATGTTTTATGTCTATCTTTTTTCTGGAAATATAAACTGGAATCTTATTGGTTGTTATAGTTTGTTGGTTCAGATACTTTTTCTAAGAAAATGATAGCAATTTTGTGTTTTTCCTTTTGACTTGTGTGTATGTGTGTGTGTGTGTGTACCTTTGTGTGTATGTGCTAATGTATCAGCCAGGACCTCCCTAACTATGTAAACTGTAATGTTGATAGTGGGCATTTTGTCTTATTTGCAATCTTAAAGGGAGTGAGTATAAAAGGAGGCAAATATTGGATGTTTGTTGTAAGTGTTTAGTATAAGACTTTTACCAAATTGAAGAAATTTCTATTTTTTCTACTTTTCCAACAGAGTTGTTATCATAAACAAGTACTGGATTTTAACAAAATGCTTTTTCCTGCATTTTTAAAATAATAATGTGATTCCTTTTTAAAAAAATAATGGGGAAAAATACAGATTTTCTGATGTAATATCTGCTTTTAAATATGCAAGTTAAATATCAGGGGTCCTAGGACATCTGCTTCCAGCTAGGATGCTAGGATAGAGTTGTGTAAGCAGACCAATGTTTCTGCTGAACAGCTAGAAAAGTTAGGAAAAAATACCAAGAAATAAATCAATTTAGGACTTGAGGAGCCAAAATCTCTGAGCAAAGAGAAGCAGACAGAGGTTAGCTGGCCACGTTTCCACTAGGAGAAATAGCCAATTCTTGACACACATACCTGGCAGAGAACCACTGATAAAAAGCACAGAAAACAGCAGACGTTTTGGCAATCTCGCAGGGCTGAGTGGATAAAAATTGAAGAAAGGTAGAAAGTAAATGGGTTGAAAAAGATAAACCCGGAAAATACCAACTAAGAGAAGGCTGATATCCTCTATATCAGATATCAACATCTACTATAAAGCTACAGTAATTAAGACAGACAGTGTAGTATCAGCACAAGGGTAGACAGACCAATGGAACAAAATAGAAAATCCAGAAGCTGACTCACATAGAGTCACTTGGCTTATGACAAAAATACCACTGCAGTGCAGAAGAAAAATACTGATCTTTTAACAAATTGTACTGGATCAATTGTATATCCATATAGAAAAAAGTGAATCCTAAACCCTACCTCATACTACATGCAAAAAAAAAATCAGATGGATTGTAGAACTCGATATGAATTATGAAACAACACTCTTAGAAGAAAACAGGAGAATATATTCATGACCTTGAAACAGACAAAGCTTTTCTAAACAGGACATTTATTTAAGGCTTCTTTAATTTCTTTCAAAATATTTTGTAACCTGCAGAGTATACATTGTGCATTTCATTTGTTAATTTATAATTATTTTCTTTTTGATGCCACTGCAATAAATTGTATATTTCACTTTTGGAGGGTTCATCACTGGAGTATGAAAATACAATTGCTTTTCATATGTATCTTATACTCTGTAAGCTTGCTGAACTCATTTATGGCTTCCAAGAGTTTTTTAGTGGATTCCTTAGGATTTTATATATACAGGATTATGTTGGCTGCTAATAGAGACAGTTTTACTTTTTCCTCTACAATCTGGATGTCTTTTCACTTTCTTGAATAATTGTCCAATCCAGAATTCAACAACGTTGAGTAGAAGTGATCAGAGTGGACATCCTCATTTTGTTCCCGATTTTAGGTAGAAAGCATTTAGTCTTTCACCATTAATTATGATAAGTGCCTATGGATTTTTAATAAATGACCTCTATCAGATTGAGGAATTTCCTTCTATTCCTAGATTATTGAATATTTTATGAAATTGTGCTAATTTTGTCAAATGCTTTTCCTGAAATTATTAAGATAACTACATGGTTTGTCTTTTATTCTATTGATATGGTGTATTATATTAATTGGTTTTCATATGTTGAGCCAACCTTGCATTCTTAGATAAAATCCCATTTGGTCATGGTATATAATCCATTATATATGTTGCCGGACCAGGTCTTTCAGTATTTCAGTGAGGATTTTGCCTCTATATTCATAAGGAATGTTCATTGGTAGTTTTTTTTTTTTTGTGATGTCTTTGTCTGGTTTTGATATCAAGATAATACTGGCCTAATAGGATGACTTGAGAAATGTTCCCTTACCTTTTCTGGAAAAGTTTGTAAAGAATTAGTATGACTTCTTCCTCACCAGTGAAGCAATTTGGGCCAGGACTTTTCTTTGTAGTTTTTTATGTACTATTTCAATCTCTTTACTTGTTAGAAGTCTGTTCACATTTTCTATTTCTTGTTGAGTCAATTTGATAATATGTGTCTAAGAATTTGTCCATTTTATTAAAATTATTTAATATCTAAATTGCTATGCAAACGTGCATAGTGTTCTAATTCTTTTGATTTTTGTAACGTCAGTAGCAATGTCCCCTCCTTCATGCTTGATTTTAATAATTTGAGTCTTTTCTTTTTCTTGGTCAGTTTAGCTAAAGATTTGTCAATTTTCTTGATATTTTCAAAGAAATAGCTTTTGCTTTTGCTTACGTTCTCTATTGTTTTTCTATTCTCTATTTCATTAATTTCTGTTATTTTTATTTTCTTCCTTCTGTCTGCTTTAGGTTTAGTGTGCTCCTTTTTTTCACTGTTTTAAGATGAAAGGTTAGGTTATTGATTTGAGATCTTCTTCTTTAATACAATTTTTTAAAGCTACACATTTTCCTCTAAACACTGCTTTGAGATTTTTTATGTGTGTTTTCCCTTTCCTTCATCTCAAAATATTTTCTAATTTCTCTTTTGATTTCTTTGACCCATTGTTTATTTAGAAGTGGATTGTTCAATTTCTCTATATTTATGATATTTTGCTATTATTATTTCATTCTATTGTGATCACAGATCACACTTTCTATAATTCTAATTCT
Source organism: Homo sapiens (assembly GCF_000001405.40). NCBI lineage: Eukaryota > Metazoa > Chordata > Mammalia > Primates > Hominidae > Homo > Homo sapiens. The sequence goes on from NC_000002.12 coordinate 23,081,159, forward strand.
TTTAAATGTAACAAGTCTTATTCATGGCTTACCATATGGTCTATCCTAGAGAACGTTCTATGTTCATCTGAGAATAATTTGTATTTGCCTCTTTTGAGGTGGAGTGTTCTATAGATCTCTGTTAGGACTACTTGATTTTTAGTATTGTTCAAGTCTTTTCTTGTTAATCTTCTGCCTAGTTGTTCTATCCATTATTGAAAGTAGAATATTAAATCCTCCAACTACTATTTTTTGTATTGCCTATCTTCGCTGCAATTCTGACAGTTTTTGCTTCAAGTACTTGGAGGCACTGTTAGTTGTACATATGGTAATTGTTATATCATCATAATAGATAAACACTCCTCTTATCATTATAAAATGTTCCTGTTTATGTCTATTAACTTGATTTCTGCTTTTTGTCTATTTTGTCTGAAGTTAGTACTGCCACTCCTGGTTTCTTATGTTGATGTTCACGTGATATATCCTTTCCTATCCTTTTCCATTCAGCCTATTTGTATCTTTGAATTTAAAATATTTACTCTGTAGACATCATTTGGTTGAATCATGGTTTTTGTTTTTAGCCCAATTTGACAATCTCTGCCTTTTGACTGGGTTGTTTAATCTGTTTACATTTAATGCTATTATTGTTATACTTGAATTCATGGCTGCCATTATAACTTTTGTTTTCTATATGTCTCTAACTTTTTGTTTCTCTATTCCTCCTTTACTGCTTTCTTTTGCATTAATCAAATACTTTCCACTGTAACATTTTAATTCCTTTAATAATTTTTTACCATATTTTGGAAGTTATTTTCTTTCCTTAAATTGTGTATTTTTAATTTTTGTGGATACATAGGAGCTGTATATATTTATGGGGCACCTGACATATTTTGATACAGTCATGCAATGTGTAATATTCACATCAGGATAAATGGAGTATCCATCACTGCAAGCATTTATCCTTTGTGTTACAAATAATCCAATTATACTCTTTTCGTTATTTTTAAATGCGCCATTAAATTATTATTGACTATTGTCACCCTTTTGTGCTATCAACTACTAGATCTTACTCATTCTTTCTACTTTTTTGTATCCTGGAGTTATTTTCTTAGTGGTTGCTTTAGAGCTTACCATATTCATATCAATTTATCAGAATATACTTCAGACTTATACTAATTTAGTTCCAGTGAGACAAAGCAATATTACTCTACTTCAGACTTACACTAATTTAGTTCCAGTGAGATAAAGCAATATTACTCCTATATAGCCCTATTCATTCATTCCTCCCCCTTTTGTGGTATTCCTGATGTGCATATTACATCCAGATATATAATATACAGTTATTGTATTACATCATTATACAAAAATACATAGTTATAATTACCTTATGTAACTTCGTCTTTTAAAGAAGAGAACAAAGGATAACAAGTATTTATTTATGGAGTGTGTTGTATTAGCCTTCTTTTTTTTTTTTTTTTTTGAGACGGAGTCTCGCTCTGTCGCCCGTATTTGCCATTTCTGGTCCTTTTTTCCTGTGGACTCAAGTTACTCTCTAGTGCCATTTCCTTTTTCCAATACAGCTTTGCTCCCACATATCTGTTTTGTACTTGTATTGTCAAATACATTACCTTTCTATATGTAATAGATCTGATAATACAATTATATGCATAGTTTAACACAACTGCTTCCTAAATCTGTTGAAATATGCTTTTATACTTTACTTTATAGTTGCATAATTATCTTTACTCTTTGTTGTTGTTGTTTCCATGTACATTCAAATTACTGTTTGGGATCACCTGCTTTTACCTGAAGAACTTCCTCAGTATTTCTTGTAAAGCAGGTCTGTTAGCAGCAAATTCTCTCAGCTTTTGTTTATCAGGAAATGTTTTTCTTTTATCTTCATTTTCAAAAGACTGTTGTGTTGGCTATAAGATTGTTGGTTGACAGGTTTATTTCTCTAGCACTTTAACTATGTCATTCCATTCATTGTCTTTGATGGAAGAAAGTTAATTGATAATCTCATCGAGGTCCCCTTGTATGTGATGAGTACTTTTCTCTTGTTGCTGTCAAGATTTTTTTGTGTGTTGTTTGTCTTTCAGTATTTTTACTATGATATGTCTAAGTGTGGATTTCTTTGTGTTTATTATATTTGGAATTTATTGAGGCTCTTAGGTGTATAGATGAATGGCTTTCATCAAATTTCAGAGGTTTTCAGCCATGATTTTTCAAATATTTCTTCTGCTCTCTTTTTTCTCTTTTCTTCCTGGTACTCCAGTTACACATATGTGTCCACTATTTCTCTGAGGCTCTGTTTATTCTTCTTCATTTTTTTCTCTTAATTCTTCAGACTGCGTAATCTTTGTTGATCTTTCTTCAAGTTCTCTGATTCTTTCTTCTGTCAGCTCAAATATACAATTAAGCCCTTCTGGTAAATTTTTAATTTTAGTTACCATACTTTCACCTTCACAATATCTATTTTCTATCATTTCTATCTCTTTGTCATTATTCTCTATTTTATGAAACATCATTATGCCTTCCTTCCTTTGCCACTCTAAGGACAGTTTCCTACAGTTCTTTGAACATGCTTATAATAGTTGCTTTGAAGTATTTGTCTGCTAAGTCTGACATCTAGGCCCTTCACAGTTTCTATGACCTGCCTTTTTTCCATGTATCAGTCACACTCTTCTATTTCTTCTCATCTCATAATTTTTTATTGAAAACTGGACATTTTAGATGATATATTGTAACAATTCTGCATGCTGATCCCTTGCTCTGCAGCTTGATGTTGATGATGTTATTGTTTGCCTGTTTATTTTAGTGACTTGACTAGGTTATTTTAGTGGTCTGTTTCCCCCAAGGATGCAGCCTCTGATGTCACCACTCAGAGGAGGCATCCTTGGGCATGTACACTGTCACCCTGAGATGGCAGTGGTTTTATTAGTGCTGTCTTTGACTGTCTCTTTCCCTTTTATCTCTGTTGTCTGGCTCCATTTATATCATGCCCAGCTATTAGCCCCCACTAATTGCTGGCTAATTGTTCTATTATGTTTTATAGTACCCTGAGGCGTAAATTGCTCCAGAGTCTGATGCAATTAAATTTAGGTCCCTTTGCAGGGGTAATCTTTGAGGCCAGTCTCTGAAGAAACTATCTCTTAGCTGTCTCTTTCCATAATTCCCTCCAGTAAATTTCTAGATGGTCTGAGGTTAAGCTTGTTGCTTTCATGGAGCAACCAGTCCCCTCTTAATTGCATGTCACCAAAATCCCTATTGTTTCTAAGAGCACTCTTAGGTTTGTACTATCTTACATGGTGGTAAAAATAAAGCCCCTAAGCCTTGGGAGAGCTTCAGTGCTTTTTGATCTTGTGCCCTGCCTCTCCCCTTGGGTAATAAATCTGCAGCACTGCTCTAGAACTGAGGGTCAGGGACAGAGAACTACTTCTCTCAGTCACACCTGCTTTGTGAGCTTTATGTGTGTCACCTTGGGGTGGTTTGGCAGCCTCCAGGCTTTGTGGTTTACCTCTCCTTGCATAGAGACTTTTACCCAAGCTAGGGTGAGGTGATGGGGCCCTCTATTCCTGGCTGCCATGCCTGGGGTAGATCTTCTGCCCTATTAGTATGTCATAAGTGGAGGAAGACAGCCCCAGATCTCTCAGCCATTCTTGCCTGGAATAGACCCTCTGATACACAGAGATGTGGTGAGGATGTAAAATGCTGGTGGCCTGTCCCTACCCCTTGGAGACACTGGAGCCCTCAACTGGAAGTTGAGTGAAGAGGGAGTCCTTTATTCTTGGTTGTACCTGCCCAGTGTGGAAATTCCCTCATTGTGAGCTGAGAGAGTAGGAAGGGAGGAAGCAAATTGCGGATCAAATGCCATGTACTCCCGTCCTTACCAAGATGCAGTAAACTTTCTTGAATAAATATTTCTTCATCTGCTGTATGGCCCAAAGACAATGCTCAGCGACTTTAAAAAATTTTAATGTATATAATTTTCACCAGTTGTGGTTGTTTCACTGGGGAGAGGGCCTGTGAACACCTCCATTCCAAAAATGATGTCCCATAAGTCATTCTTAGCTTCCTAGAAATGCATGGCTGACAGGCACTGAGGGCTACTGGTTGCAACCTGAATCCTGGGCCATTGAGAACAGAAACAAGATAAGGAAATGGAGAGGTAAATAGAGGATGTGTGGGAAAGAGAAGAGAGGGTAATGAGGTCTGTCTCACCATGCCTCTGACAATAGAGCAACAATAAATAAAAATTAATCTTGTTTCATCTAAGACAACATTGGACACAATCTTGAGGTGTGCAAACTTAGTCTTTGGCAACCCTGCCTTCCATCTGTGAATGTCTCATACCTGGTATCCTCCAGGTGAGGGTAGTCTCACTCAGGACTTTTATCTCTCTCACCTGTTCCTTTTTCAGCTCTTTGTTTAATTTCTAGAGGAAGTTACCAGCCCTTAATTCACACCAAAATACATGTCATTGGCTGGGAGCTGCTTAATATGAGATCTTGCTAGAGGAATTTGCTTTTCAAAAGGGAAAACCCTATTCATCCTAAAGGCATGATCCCCTAACTGAGGAACTTGAGGCTACATCACTAGGTCAGCCCAGGCTATATGAAGCCAGAGAGAAGGGGGATCTTTTAGAACCTTAACTAAGGCTGCTTCACATATTTCTGAGGCCTCTAGAGCCAAATATTCTGGCTAAAAAAAAATTCTGACATGTCCACAGATCTGAGGAGGCACACTGTCTCAGTAAGCACAGCTGCTCTCCATTTGGTTAATGATAGCCCATCTCAAATTTGGTGTGTGCAAACAAAAGAGCCAGCAGGCCCAGCTCCACCGAGCTTGCCCACAGAGGCCTCTGAGCCGCAGGCTGCCACAGGATCTCTGGTAGAAACAGAACGATCTGTGTTGCATCTGGTGTGATAAGGCTGGTCTGTGTCAGGTGAAGGCCAGGTATAGACTTTGGCTTATACAGTCATGCACTGCACAATGACATTTCAATGTCTGACGGCATGTATGACAGTGGTTCCATGATCTTATAAGACCATGTTTTAACTGTACCTTTTCTACGTGCAGATATGAAAATACCTACCATTGTGTTACAGTTGCCTACAGTATTAAATACAATCACATGCAAGTACAGGTGTTCAGTCTAGGAGCAATGAGCTCTACCGTAAAGCCTAGGTGTGTGGCAGGCTATTCCATCTAGGTCTATGTAAGAACATTCTATGATGTTTCCACAGTGACAAAATTACTCAGTGACGCATTTCTCAGAACATATCCATGTCATTTAGTGACACATGACTGTGGTACAATGTGGCAGGATTTGGTAGCAGACAGGCCAGTGAAGGGATCCTACAAAGATACCAAAGGCTGTGCCAGTAACAATGCAAATGCAGGAGTAAAAAGGAGGAAAAAAGCATTGGAGGAAGATGCAGGCTACAGACCTTCAAGCCTAGGGCAAATCTGTTCAATCTTTGTCATTCTATGTGGTTTTCTTAGGCACCTCTCTGTTATCTCAAAAGTCAGCCCAATTTTCAGTCAATCCAATATTGACTTACTGTTTAATCCCTTATTTGAAAGAAAACTTTTTCTCTCTGAAAGTCCATTAAGTCACTGACCCTGAGAAGCCTTCCTGAATCTTTTTGGCATTTGGTCTTCTCTGTCTTCTTGGCTCCCATTGCCCTCCATATAAACTCAAATGGTCAAGAGCCAACTGAAAAAGCCATCCCACCAGAGATCCACCCCACAGTAGATGCTTCCATCCCTGTCCTCCTGCTTGAATCTGGTCAGCTGGCTATGATCTGGTACTTCAAATCCCTCCCATGAATGGGGTCCGATACACTCCCATCTCTGATCCAAAGCATTTCACTAAAATCTATTTAGAGCGATAAGTAGGGAGCAACCTCTGGAGACCAAGCCACTGAAATGACCATTCTATCTGTTTCACAAGTGACCTCCATGACTGCGGAGGTTTTCATCTACCTTGTTTACTGCTGTCTCCCTAAGGCCCAGCACAATCCTGGTTCACAGTAGGTGCTCAAATAGGAATTGATTGAATAAACAAGGCTGTTCTTGCACAAAGAGGGATGAGTTCTGGGCTGCCACATTTCATACAAAGGACAACTCACATCTGTCTTCAATAGACTCAGCTGCTTAGAGGTACCTGGAGCTGGTTTAATTCCTTGCCAAAGCTCCTCTCCAAATTCAACCACTCTCTGAAGGTGCTTTATACTTACACATTCTAATCATTTCTATACAGTCTGAATATGCCCAGGTCAATGAGACAGCTGAGCTGCCATGATCTATTTTAGGGTCTACCTCACAATCACTACCACCACTCAACTAAACCAGCATGGAAACTACTTTTTATGGTTGAAAGCATAGAAGGGGCTATTGTGTCAGTTATAGGACCAGGGGCTGACAAAGCCAAACACCCAACTGCAGGTCTGTATTAGTCCATTTTCACACTCTTGATAAAGACATACCCAAGACTGTGCAATTTACAAAAGAGAGGAGTTTAATGGACCTATACTTCCACATGGTTGTGGAGGCCTCAAAAACATGACAGAGGGCAAGCAGGAGAAAGTCACATCTTATATGGGTGGCAGCAGGCAAAAAGAGAGAGAGAGAGAGCTTGTGCAGGGAAACTCCCATTTTTAAAACCATCAGATCTCGTGAGACTTATTCACTATCATGAGAACAGCATAGGGAAGACCCACCCTCATGATTTAATTATCTCCCACCGGGTCCCTCCTGCAACACATGAGAATTATGGGAGCTACAAGATTAGATTTGGGTGAGGACTCAGAGCCAAATCATATCATTCCACCCTGACCCTTCCCAAATCTCACGTCTCCACATTTCAAAACCAATCATGCCTTCCCAACAGTCCCCCTAAGCCTTAACTCATTTCAGCATTAACTCAAAAGTCCACAGTCCAAAGTCTCATCTGAAACAAGGCAAGTCCCTTCCATCTATAAGCCTGTAAAATCAAAAGCAAATAAAGTTACTTCCTACATACAATGGGGATAACAGGAATTGCGTAAATACAGCCATTCTGAATGGGAGAAATTGGCTAAAACAGAAGGGCTACAGGCCCCATGCAAGTTCAAAATCCAGTGGGGCAGTCAAATCTTAAAGCTCCAAAATGATCTCCTTTGACTCTATGTCTCGTATCTGGGTCATGCTGATGCAAGAAGTGGGTTCCCATCATCTTGGGCAGCTCTGCCCCTGTGGCTTTGCAGGGCATAGCCTCCCTCCTGGCTGCTTTCACAGGCTAGCATTGAGTGTCTGCAGCTTTTCCAGGCACACGGTGCAAGCTGTCAGTGGATCTACCATTTTGGGGTCTGGAAGATGGTGATGGCCCTCTTCTCATAGCTCTACTAGGCAGTACCCCAGTAGGGACTCTGTGTGGGGGCTCTGATCCCATTGCCCTAGCAGAAGTTCTCCATGAGGGTCCCACCCCTGTGGCAAACTTCTGCCTGGGCATCCAGGAATTTCCATACATCCTCCAAAATCTAGATGGAAGTTCCCAAACCTCAATTCTTGACTTCTGTGCACCTGTGGGCTCAACACCACATGGAAGCTGCCAAGGCTTTGGGCTTACACTCTCCGAAGCCACAGCCCAAGCTGTACCTTGGCCCCTTTTAGTCACAGCCAGAGCAGCTGAGACGCAGGACACCAAGTCCCTAGACTGGACACAGCAGCCCTGGGCCCAGCCCACAAAACCATTTTTTTCTCCTAGGCCTCCAGGTCTGTGATGGGAAGGGCTGCCACAGAGGTCTCTGACATGCCCTGGAGACATTTTTCCCATTGTCTTAATGATTAACATTTGGGTCCTTGTTATACTTATGCAAAGTTCTGCAGCTGGCTTCAATTTCTACTCAGAAAATGTGATTTTCTTTTTTATTGTATTGTCAGGCTGCAAATTTTCTGAACTTTTATGCTCGTTTCCCTTTTAAAACTGAATGCCTTTAATAACATCCAAGTCACCTCTCGAATGCTTTGCTGTCTAGAAATTTCTTACGCCAGATACCTTAAATCATCTCTCTCAAGTTCTAAGTTCCTCAAATCTCTAGGGCAGGGGCAAAATGCTGCCAGTCTTTTTGCTAAAACATAACAAGAGTTCTACTTTTCAACAAGTTCCTCATTTCCATCTGAGTCCACCTCAGCCTGGACCTTATTGTCCATATCATTATCAGCATTTTGGTCAAAACCATTCAACAAGTCTCTAGGAAGTTCAAAACTTTTCTGCATTTTCCTGCCTTCTTCTGAGCTCTCCAAACTGTTCCAGCCTCTGCCTGTTACCCAGTTCCAAAGTCACTTCCACATTTTGGGGTACCTTTTCAGTAGCACTCCACTCCCAGTACCAATTTACTGTATTAGTCCATTTTCACACTGCTGATAAAGACACCCAAGACTGGGCAATTTACAAAAGAGAGGGGTTTAATGGACTTACAGTTCCACATGGTTGGGGAGACCTCACAATCAAGGCAGAAGGCAAGGAGGAGCAAGTCACATCTTACATGGATGGCAGCAGGCAAAGAGAGAGAGAGCTTGTGAAGGGAAACCAGTTTTTAAAACTATCAGATCTCATGAGTCTATTCACTATCACGAGAATAGCAGAGGAAAGACCTGCCCCCATGATTCAGTTATCTCCCTCTGGGTTTCTCCCACAACATGTGGTAATTATGGGAGTTACAAGATGAGATTTGGGTGGGGACACAGAGCCAAACCATATCAAGGTTGAAGCTGACTTTCATATAATCTTGCCTGAGGCTCCATATGATGTGCATATATGCGTCTTGTGTGCAAGTGCATATGCATGTTGAGAGAGGGAGAAGAGTGGAGGGGAAAGAAGAGGAGGAGAGAGGAGGGGAGACATTATGGTTAATATTGAGTGTCAACTTGATTGGATTGAAGGATTCAAACTATTGTTCCTGGGTGTGTCTGTGAGAGTGATGCCAAAGGAGATTAACATTTGAGTCAGTGTACTAGGAGAGGCAGACCCACCCTCAGTCTGGTTGGGCACCATCTAATCAGCTGCCAGTGTGACTAGAATAAAGCATACAGGAGAAGATGGAAGAGCAGACTTGCTGAGTCTTCTGGGCTTCATCTTTCTCCCACACTGAATGCTTTCAGCCCTAAAACATCAGACTCCAAGTTCTTCAGCTTTTGGATTCTTGGACTTATGCCAGTGGTTTGCCAGGGGCTCTCAGGCCTTTGGCCACAAACTGAAGGCTGCATTGTCAGCTTCCGTACTTTTGAGACTTGGACTGGCTTCCTTGCTCCTCAGCTTGCAGGTGGCCTACTGTGGGACTTCACCTTGTGATCCTGTGAGTCAGTACTCCTTAATAAACTCCTTTTCATATATACATCTATCTTATTAGTTCTGTCCCTCTAGAGAACCCTGACTAACACAAAAAGGCAGAGGAGAGGAGAGCAAAGGGGAGGGGAGGAGGAGAGGGGAGGGGAGAAGAGGGGAGGGGAGAGGAAAGAGGAGGAGAGAAAGAGGAAAGAGGAGGGAAAACAGGAAATGGAGTAAAGGATCCCCTCATATCCCACAGAACTTCCCTTAACCTCGTGGCTCCTCAGCCCACTCACCTGCATAGAATCCTGTTTCATCAGCATCAGAAGGTGAAGATTGAAATCATATAGGCTCAATTTCTTTATGTATTCAGTGATAGCAGCTCCCAGAAAAGAAACCTAAACAGAAGTGAAATATTAATTCTCCCACAAGTACAGGTGTCTCTTGGCACAAATTTAGCATGAACACCATCACCAGATGCACCCCCATTGCTGAGGATCCGAGGACTTTGGTCCAGGTTTGGATGCTGGATCCTAGGAAGACATGGCTGAATCTGTAAATAGAAAATCACAAATCAAGAGATTATTATCCAAAATTTGGATGACTAGGTGGGTTCATTTTGTATACCTGGAATTCTCACAGGACAATTTCATTAAAAAGAATAGCAACTATGGTGTTACTGTTGACTACTGTCAATTTTTTTTTATTATAAAAACACATCAAGACCTGATTATTCATCTGGAGTGATAAATAAATAAATAAATAAATAAATAAATAATTAAATAAATAAATAAAACTTTGAATGATACCCCTTCAGTCACACCACAAGGCCCAAAGTCTGCAGCCTGGCACTCAAAGCTACCAAGATAAATCTCTAACCTACCTTCCCAGTCTCATCTCTCAATACTTGTACATAATGTTTCTTCTACTTCAAAGTACTTGGTATTTTTTCATGATCAATCTCCTGTGATTTCCTACTGCCTTGTGGTTCACACCATACCTTTCAGCTAGAGACCCACTTCCTTTCCATTTGTCCATGACCAAGTTATACCCCTGCCTCAAGGCCCATCTCAAATGCAACCTCCTTTCTGAAGATATCTCCTTTCAGCCCCCAACAGAGCAATATCTCACTCCTCCTGTAAACCCCATATGTAGACAGTAATTCATCAAACTTGATAGTATAAATAATAAAAACTTACAGTAAACTCATCTAACAAATATTAAATCCCAATTATTTGCCAGACACAATATTAAATACTTAATATTTATTGATTCACTTAATTAATGATTTTCATATATGTTTTGTGTTCCCCAATGCCTGATGGCAGCCTTTAGTCTAAATCATATTTCTCTGCTATAATCCTTAACATTATGCCTAGATACAGTAAATTATCAATAAATGCTTATTGAGTATAAATTAATTAATGTACAATATGTGAATATATAAATGAATGAATGAAGCAAAAGGATGCCTGTTTAGAGGCACAATTTCCAAGACCATTAGGCAGAGCTTCTGGATTTCTATGCATATTATATGAGTTCTTTTCCATTCTCAATAAGATTCTAGAGTCTCATATAGCAAATCACAACAAGCCTGCAGCTACGATGTGTGGATGGTGAGCCTTTTGCATAGGATCATGAAGAGGACTCCTAGCGTTTAATTCTCTAAATTACACTCACCCCTTCAACAAACCAGAAAACAGTATAGCAATCTTTTATCCTTTCTTTCCTGGCCCACTCTCCCTAGCTCTAGCACCCAGAACTTTTACGTTTTTCTGTCCCACAGTAAGTGACGAACTAATTCAAACATACACAGGTGTACAAGAAAATAAATCCTCTTCCAAGGGTGCTATAAGTCTTTGAGGTCAATGCTTAATGCAAAGGAATGGAGTGATTTCAAACATCAATGAGGAGAAAAGAAAGTATAACCAGAATTATTGCATGGCTAGTCCCTGTCCAACTTTCTACATATATTATCTCATGTAATTTTTACAGTAATTTTATTAATTATAGTGATGATAATGTAGCACTTACTGTATGCCATATACTCTCCTAAGAATTTTTCATGTAATATCCCACTTAAGTCTCCCATCAACATTTTGAATAAAGTACCCCTTTCACCTTCTTAAGAGATGAGAAAACAGCCATAGAAAATTTAAGTAACTTGTCCAAGATCCCAAAGTAAAGAGTAGACCCAGAATGTAAACCCAACTTAGAAGTACACTCTACATCTTCTCAGGGTAGTAGTTTCCCAAACATATCTGTACAGCAGAAGTTGGTTCTCAGAAAGTTTACCAGGCACAAAGTCATGTACCTAGGAAACATAAATACTGGAATTCAAATCTTAATATTTTTATTTCGATGTGAATGCTTTTTAGTAAAACTTATTTCAGCTCAGGTGTTCATTCAGGGCAGCAAAGGTGTCCTGTATAGGGCTTCTCAACTCATAAGACCATTCCTGAGAATAAAAGTAATCATTTTGTGTGCTACTAAAACTTCCCCAGGCAGGGTTTTGCTTCATGCATCCCTGCCCCTAATCTCCTCTATCCATGGTGCTGAATTTAAAGACAGCATAGCTGGCCTAAAGAAAGAACTGACAAAATAATCTGAATCTCTATGGTAAAGGATCTTAAATACGGCTCTGCACCTGGCCATTGAGAACCAGTGAAATCTTTTCCAAACCTCCCGCTTTAAGCCCAGAATCTCTTTTCTGTCTTCCAAGATCATTAAGTTGAAAAGGGTAAAATAAGTGAGGCTTACGATTAACAAGGATTGTTCAAACCAATATCTTTTCAACTTCATAATTACAAAGATTATGTTATCTGAAAATAAATCAATGAAAGGAGAGCAAGAGAAAGTCTATCTCATAAACATCAATGCAGATCTAACAAAAGTTCAAACAAAAAAAGGAATCAGAGACTAGAGACCCTGAAGCAGGTTCGAAGCTACAGCACTGGGCCAATGGAGGGTGTGAGGCTAGTGCTGAGAACAAAGGCTTGAGACAGAGAATGTCTTTATATCTGGTGCTGAATTGATTTTCAAGCCATAAAAATGTTAGTTAAGGTAACACTGACATGAACTAGGGCAGGGTGGGGGGAAAAGAAGTTGGAAAAAGCAACTGCAATTTCAGGCTTATGAGAAATGGAATTAAAGTTAAGAGAAGGAAGGAAATCTATTGTTTGTCCAGTAACTGGCAAACAGAACAGCCACTGCATCATTATAGTGGCAACGACCTGCTGTGTTCATTTGTCTCTGAGCTGTCTGACCTAGGAGCTGGATGATTTATCTACTTTCCACAGCTTCAGCTGGGCCAGGCCAAGAGGATAACTTGGAGAAAAGGGTGGAGGTGTGGGGGTGGTGACACTCAAGCACCAAGCCAATGAACTCCATATGTCTTGTATTAGAGGGCATGCTCATAAATCAGCCAATATCACACATTTATTTCACACCTACTATAAACAAATCTCTGTGCTAGAAGGCCTCTGGTCATACAAAGATTGAAAAGGGCAGAGCCATTGGCCTTGAAGAGCTTACAATCTAGTGGAAAATATTAAGCATGAAGAAAACTAATTAAAAGCGTATGCTAGATGATGGCTAGAGACAGCAAGAACTATCAGAATACAGAGGAGGACTGTTGACTTTCTTTGTCAGGTAAGGCTTCTGAGAGCAGGCAACACCTTAATTGAGCTTAAATAATAGGATATGCAGTCAGAAAAAAATGGGAGTAAGTGTTGCAGGATGATAATTCAATTAACAAAGCCTCAGAGGCAGGAGTGGGTCAATTATGTTTTGGTGGGAGCAATATTGCCTATCCTTCCCAAATTCCTAGATACAAGGTAGATAGTCTCCAGGCTCTCCATATTCAGGGAGAGAGTTGAGGCAGCAGGGAATGCTCAAGGATCTGTACATCACTTTTTCAAAAACTTGAATGACTTCCAATATAAAAAAATAGATTTCTAGATTTCTGGCCACAGTGGTACATGCTTCTAAGGTAAAGAGAAACATCCAGATCAAGCATTCTTTTGCCCTATGAGGCCCTGAAAAAGTTGTCTATCTATACACTTAACCAGGATAGCATTTCTCCATCAAGTGAGCCTACTCCCATCCTGGTAAATAAGAAAATGTGGTAATGAGGATCAACTCTGGCAAGAAAAATTGAGCATTTGTAAGGATTTTTTGAAGTTAGACAAATAACATGTTGTTTACCTGTCCTGGATTCAGTGACCTCATTGCAGAACCTGCCATTCCAACTACACATCACATCCTTATTACAAGTTAGACTACCTCATAGAGCAGCCACTACAACACAACAATTTACAAAGTCAGAAAACAGATAAGAGAGAGGAAAGAAGGCTGAGGAATGCTCAAAGTACAAGGAAGAGAACACCTTATTTCTAATTCTAAACATATTTCCAAAACATATCTAATTTTTAATTCTAGCTTATAGAAGGACTGCAGGGAAGAAAGTCAAGATGAAAATTAAGATGACACATCTCAGAGCCAGTGGTTTTAAAATAACAGTCTTGTTTGCTTTACAACAAAAAGGACTTGGATGTAGGGAGGAGAAGGCAGGAGGGAACAAGTACGTTGGTGTTGCAGACTTGTCTGCTACAGAGGACCCATCCCAAGGAAAGACCAAAGAGTAGTATGTCTTCAGGCAGATAGAACTAAAACAAACAAAAGCAAATAAAAAGATCTCTAGCAATCTGATATTATTCGACTAACAGAAATTCTAGAGAAAAAATACAAACTTCACTCAGAAAAGAGCACATCTGGACATAGACTAAGACCTATCTGATGTGCACCACTGAGAACATGTTCTGGAATCTGCTCAGTGGTCACGCAATTCCAATGGCTGAAGCAGTCACATGTGTGGAGCATTCAGGTAAGTCATCACACCTGAGGACTTCAACTCTAAGATTCCCTGGTCCCTTGACTTCAGCTGGCTGAAGCTCAGATAAGCCAGCAGCTGGGATAACTGCAAACCCCACTGTTGCTCCCAAGAAATGTTTCAGTATGCTGTTTAAGCATGAAGGCTCTGAAGTCATACTTCCTGAGTTCAAATCCCACCTTAGCCAGTATTACTTGCTCTCTGTCCTTAGGCAAATTGCCTCCAATTTCTCAACTATAAAACAGAGAGGTTAATAACATCAACATCATGAGGCTCTTGTGATTTTTACGTAAAACAAGACATAGTTTATCTCAGACCTAAAAAATATGGAAAAAATATTTGGTTTTATTTCACACAGTTATAGGTGGTAACAATAACTCAATTATTCAACAAATATTTAAGAATTGGGAATCCAGTTGCTCCATGAACGCAAATGCAGAGAAACCAAAGCAAAGATCTCAGATTTACTAGAGTCTGGGGTAGAACATAGATAAGTAAATAATAGTAAACTAATACATGCAGTGTGGCAATGAAACATTTCAGAGGCACAATGATGCATCTGAGACTGAAGTACGAGAGGAGAGACTGGGTGAGGGCAGAAGGCAGGGACCAAAAGAGAAGTGTCAATGCCCCTACTCAAAGGACCCATGTAAGGTCTTTGGGAGCTCATTCATGTATATTAACTTCTTTTGTCCTCACAACAGCCTTGAGGTGTTTGGACCCATCTGCTTCATAACTATCCCTGTTTTATAGATATCAAAATTAGGTCCCAGAGAGATATGTGAAAAAGACTGTCACAGAGCTGAACTTGTCCTAATCAAACTATATTAGTGCAAGGGTGAAGATCTTGGTGAAGGAACAACAAAGCTATATCTTTGTATTGGTACTGAATATAGTTTAGCTTTATTGATGCCATGAAGAAGAAAAAATAAATTCCCACTGTAACCTTAAAACATAAAGAAACAGCTAAGCCATATCCCTAAAAAGACAGTTTGGAGGCAAAGAAAAAAATGTATAATTAGAAAAACACAATAAGGATGGTTAAATATGGGCCTACATTGAGTTATGCCAGCAGATAAAAATGAAAACTTGATATGATAAATGCATTGAAGGGGTTGTGGATGTGTGGGTGAATTTAGTGAAATCTGTGTATTCTTCAAAGAAGGAGAAAGGTGAATAGTGAGTCAAAACTACTCCCTTAGTCCTCAAATGTTTTCGGTGGTGATTTAAGCAGCCTCCATACCCCACACATTCTCCTTAAGGATAGCAGGCCTGAGATGAGCTCTTTGAAATGAATCTGCACTAAAGGAAGGCTTCCAAAAAGTCACCAAGTTAGATCAACATCTCACATGGGGACAGGATAGGTGTTTTTACTGTTCTGATACACTCTAGTGATGGGACACTGGGTAAGTTAACTAAATCTGTGTATTTTCAGCTTCACCTCATTTTCCTCCTTATAAGATGGGGCCTTATTTAATGCAAGACTTAAGAGGGCTGCTTCTGACTTGGAGGCTGCAGAATCCTTCAGATACCATCAAGCTCTGTGACCACTCTGAACTTTGCACTGTGCAAATGTACAATAACAGATCAACACTTCCAGGTCTATGCACTCCCCAGAGCAGACAAAGACAGCTGGCAGCACCCAGCACCACCCTCCTTCTTTCCGAAATAAGCAAGCTAAAGTCAGAAGAACCAAGTGATGTCAAGTAAATATATTTAAGCCTGCCACTGGACAGTTCCTACTAAGTTTTCCAGTGATTCATCTGGTGACGGGAGGCATCTGACTCACCCAGCTTGCCCTTGCACACATCCACAGATTTGACAGACAACTTGTCTCAGATCACACTATTTCAGGACAATCTAAGGTATTCTTTCAAGGCATTGGAAACACAACAATTACTCTGCTAAGAAATGATGTGAAACAACAATAACAATTATATTATCTTCTCCAAGACAAGAGCACTGGAAAGATGAAAACCAGTAAAGGGAAGATATGCCAGGAAGAGACATGCTGTTTTTCAAGCCTACTGGGGTAAACACCAAAGCCACCAGACTCCCCCTGGAGTTACTGTCAGTGGGTTGCACATGCCTGTATAGACAGGGAGTGCCCCATTACAGGAAATGTCACTAAGCCAAAGTATCTCAGACAGGACATCAAGTTTTGAGCTAATTCTGAGCAAAGCTAGTGGCCATATCTGGCTGGACTCCAAAAGAGAACATCTGGGAACATGATCTTGCTCCATGGAGCCTCGAGATAGTGAATTGAGGACAGCTTGCCAATCACAATTGAAAAGTTACCATGGATAACCCTATGCCTTGTGATATCTTCCGGTAACATCCCCAATGCTTCTCTTTACTCCCACACAGACTCTGGCACTGTTCAAAGTACTCCGGGCTATTGCATTATTTGATTTCCACTAAGATAATGCTTGTAAGATTATACAAATGTTCTGTGTCCCTTCCTAAATTTTAAGCCTTCAAGGGCAGCAGGAAGCCATTCTCCAATTTCTCTCCTTCTCCAAATCCTTGTCCCAGGCCTAGCTTCAGCCCTAGCCTCAGTCCAGGGCACCACACCCAAGGGCCCCACACTGATGCTGGTGGTGTGACCCAGAGGAGAGGTTCATGTTCGCTTCAACCTCAGAGCACGTGGAACCCCCAGGAGAAAGGCCTCATTTACAACACCGATCAAAGCAACTTTCATGCAACAGTGTTATCACGGTGCTTATTCTTGCACATCAAGCTCCTGCTTATTCAACTGATTTGTTATGTTCATTAGCATGGTATGCAATTTGCCTACTAAAATCTGCAATATCTGTGATGGTTTGCAAGAAATTAGAAACATGGAAAATAGGGAGATGGAATTGGTTTTAGTCAGTGCCAGGTATCAGCGGTGAAAATAATGAGCATAAGAGTGTGATAGATTTCTCTGCACATTTCCCTTCTCACTTCACACTAGTGTTGCTGAATGAAGGAGACTAAGAGACTTTGAGTGGAGAGGCAGAGAGAACTTTTTAAAAATGCAGAACTTCCGCATCCACAATCATACCATAGACAATTACACAGGTTCAGGTTCCAAACTGCAGTCCTAGGTTTTAAAGGCTTAGGAACTTATATGAGTCTAACTGCTGCTACTAATAGGCTTCCAAAATAGTGATATCCACAGGGTAGATGTTAAGGCCTGGGAACACCCCTTTGCACACCACTAAGCAGTCCTGAAAAAGCAACAGACAGACAAGGAGAGAAACAGTACTTTCCTCTCTCCTGTTTTCTCTCTTTTCCAGATATTTTCTCCTTTCCAAACTCCACATAAACATTGATACTCAATGCATACTCAAAAAGAAGAGGTCAAATCTCACCAACCCTGACCTCACTCTTGGATTATTTGCACAAAAGCAATAGAGGGCAAATGAAACCAGAAACTTTGCATGTTAACTACAAAATTCATCCTTTTAGTGAACTATAAAAATTAGTATTATTTTAAAAATTAAAACCAATGCAAAGAAGAAAGTAAAAGCTCACAAGTATGTATGGTATATCAAGATCTCACAAATGGAACAGTCAACATTCTCTCTAACTTCTTTAGCCACAGATTCTGACTTACCATCTGAAAGACTGTGTACGATAGAACATTTCTGGAAACACAGCCAAGACACTGATAACTGTAGTTTCTTCTTAGAATGGAGAAAAACTTTTCATCACCTTTTAAACTATTTGAATTTTTTGCTCTGAGCAATGCATTGCATTTTAATAGCAATGATATAAACAAATTAGACAGTTAATCAATTGATGAATTGTTTAAAATTGTTCCTATTAATAAGGCATCAAAATAAAGTTCCTCAAATTAAAATTCTTTTCTGGTTTAAAAATCTGAAAACAGAGTTTAGTCCCAGCCCTCTCTTTAATTTGTCCCCTGATTTGTGTTTTCAACTCATAAACACAGAGTATCTTTCCAATTATTAATTTTCCTTGATTTTGTTCATCAATATTATAGTTTTCCACATATAGGTCTTGTATGTATTCAGTTACATTTATACATAAGCATTTGACTTCACGTAAATTGATTTTTAAAATTTCAAACTTCAATTGTTCACTGCTGGTGTACAGGACAGCATATGACTTTTGTATATTAGCCTTATGTCCTACGACCTTGCTATACTCACATATTAGTTCCAGGAGTTTTTGTTTTGTTTTCAATTCTTTAGGAATTTCTATATAAACAATCTTGTCATCTGGGAGCAAAGACAGTTGTATTTCTTCCTGCCCAGTATGTATAACTTTATCTTCTTTTCTTCTCTTATTTCATTAGGTAGGACTCTAGTACAAAGATGAATAGAAGTGATGAGGGAAGATATCTTCGACTTGTTTCTGATTTTAGGTAGAAAGCATTCAGTCTCTCACCATTAAATGTCAGCTGTAGGGTTTTTGTAGATATTGTTTATCAAATTGAAGAAGTTCCCCTCTAATCCTAGTTTGCTGAGAGTTTTTATCCTAAATCGTTGTCAGATTTTTCCAAATGCTTTTGCGGCACCAATTTATATTATCATATGACTTTGCTTTTTTATCCGTTAAGATGGTTGATTATATTGATTAATTTTCTAATGTTGAGACAGCCTTGGAATAAATTCTATTTGGTTGTGGTATATAATTCTTTTTATACAATGCTGGATTTAATTTACTAATATCTTGTTCAGGATTGTTGCTTTCATATTAATGTGAACTATTGATCTGCACTTTCACTTTCTTATAATGTCTTTATCTGGTTTTAGTATTAGGATAATCCTGGCCTAATAGAATGATTCAGAAAGTAATCCCTTTGCTCTTATTTTTATGGATGAGATTATGAAAAATTAGCATCATTTCTTCCTTGAATGCTTGGTAGAATCCACAAGTGAAACTATCTGGGCCTGTTGCCTCTTTTTGAGAGGCTATTAACTATTTAATTGTTTAATAGCTATAGGATTGTTCATATTATCTATTTGCCTACCCAACCAACATTATAGTCACATCTTTAAGAAAAAACACTCCCCCAACCGAAGCAAATTCAAAAATGAGAAGTGATTATTGCTCCATATGTGCCTATATCAACATAAAGAAACAAAAAACATGAAAATGCAAGGTAATATGACACCCTCAAAGGCATAGTCATTCATCAGTAGATCCTAGCCAAAAAGAAATCCTCAAAATGTCAGATAAAGAATTCAAAACAGGCCTGGCACAGTGGCTTATGACTGTAATCATAACACTTTGGGAGGCTGAGGCAGGCAGATGGCTTGAGCTCAAGAGTTCAAGATCAGCCTGGGAAACATGCCAAAGCCCTGTCTCTACGAAAAAAATACAAAAACTAGCTCTGTGTGGTGGTGCATGCCTGTATTCCCAGCTACTCAGGAGGCTGAAATGAGAGGATCGCTTGAGCCCAGGAGGTAAATGTTGCAGTGAGCTGTGATCACACCACTGCACTCCAGACTGGGCAACAGGGTGAGACCTTGTCTCAAGAAAAAAAAATAAAAAAAAAAACAAGAATTCCAAATATTTATTTTTAAAACATGTAATAAGATGCAAGAGAAATCCAAAAACCAACACAAAGAAATTAGACAAATCAATTCAGCATATAAATGAGAAATTTACCAAGGAGATATATATCTTACACACACAACAGAAATTTTTGAAAAATTCATTGAAGGAATTACAAAATACATTTGAAAACTTCAGCAATAGACAGGAAGCAGCAGAAGAAAGAATTTCAGACCTTCAAGACGGGTCTTGAAATAATCCAGCCAGACAAAAATAAAAAAGAATGAAAACAGCCTTAGAGACATTTGGGACTGCATAAAGCAAATAAACTCATAACTTATCAGTATTTCTGAGGGGGAATAAAAATTTAAAAAGTTTAGAAAGCCTATTTAATAAAATAAATGATACCAATTTCCCAGGTATAGCAAGAAAGTTAGACATCCAGGTGTAGAATACCCTAAAAGCCCTGACTTCACCGCTATGTGATTAATGCATGTGACCAGATTAAACTTGTTCTCCATAAATTTATACAAATAATACCTAGGCGATGGGTTGACAGGTGCAGCAAACCACCATGGCATACGTTTACCTATGTAACAAACCTGCACATCCTGCATGTGTACCCCGGAACTTAAAAAAATAATAAAAAAACAAAAAGTAAAAATAAAATTAGTCTTCATTTTTGGTATAGTACTTTTGATTTATAGTATTGCCTTTTGATTCTTTCTCAGAGTTTTTATCTCTCTGTTTATAATACCAATCTGTTCTTGCACGATGTTTACTTTTCATATTAGGACCGTTAATATATTAATCATAGGTATTTTAAACTCCCTATCTGATTATTCCAACATATGTTTTATGTCTGAGTCTGGTTAATGCTTACGTTGTTTCTTCAGACTCTTTCTTCTTCCTTTTCAACATACTTTGTGGTGTTTAGGTGAAAGCCAGACATGAGGTATGGGGCAATAGGAACTGAGGTAAATGGGTAAATGTGAAGTTTTATGTTAATCTGGCTTAGAGGTGGGTTGTGTTTAATATGTGCTGTAGCTGTAGATAGCAGAGACTTTAAATTTTTCCAGTGCCCTTGTTTTTGTCTCCTCTGCTGTCTTTGGGCTTCCCTAATAACTCCACCTTAGATGAAGTTTGCATCTTGTAGTTTTTTCAGCTGTAATCCACTGTGATTATACTGGAGCCCTGTTGGTATAATAATAAGATGTGAGGGAAGGGAAGCATTCCATAATCTTGTGATTAAATCTCAGTCTTTCAGTGGTTCTGTGTCCCTGGGTTGTGACTTTCACAAGTGTTTTTAGCTACTCCCCCCTACTTAGGTGAGACAGAAAGTCTAGAGGGGGCTGAAGCCAAGTAAATGTCCTCCCTCCAGGTGAGATAAGTCACTGCTAAAGTCTTTTTCCCTGGAAAGCAGGCTCTTTTTTTGTGGAGGCGCTTTGAATTTATTTCATAATGGTGACTTTTCATCTCTGCCTGCCAGAGCCAAAGAGAGATCTTTCTTGGCTCTTTACTGTGAGACTCTAGTAGGGTTCACAGAGGCAAAACCCAGAAAAGCTTAGGATCCCCGCTAAGACTGTGGACCCCAGGAGTTTTTCATTTTGATACTAGTCCACACTCAGCCTCAAGCAATTCATCACAATTACCATTTAACTGACTTCTCCTCCAGGTAAGCAGATTTCAGCTGTGATTTTGTTTGATATTCACTTGTTTCTCTAGATTTCAAAGTGCTGGTTTGTTCCATGACCTAATTCTCTGATGGGCCCAAGAAAAAGTCATTGATTTTCAGTTTGTTCAGCTTTTTTTCATGTAGGAATGAGAGTGATGACTTCCAAACTGTTTACATGTAAGAGCTGAAACCAGAAGTCCCTTGACTTGTGTTTCAATATTCTCATCTGCAAAATGGAAAATAAATTTGCCCTGGGAGCTTCCAGGGCAATGGCGTCATACAGGGAGAGGGCTTTCAGGAGAATTATGAGTCAGAACATTTTATGTCATCTATCAGCCTCTTTCATTTTATCAATTCTGATCACTTTGTCATCCTACCCATTCAGAATACTACAGACTTATGTAGCTTTGTCAACAAGGTTTTCTAAATCACGCCATTAAAGTACTAGATTATGTATTCCTTTTGGTCTCTATATAACTTTTTAATTTACCCTGCACTCTCATAGGGAAGATTCTACCTAAAATGAAGTAAAGCTCAAGTTGGGAATAACAATGGAGGATGCATGAATCAGATGGGTTATGGGTTATGGTATTAAAAGTACAAAGCTTCAAGATGGCAGGGGCAATAGAAACAGCATATTTAGTCTTGGAACTGAAGTGCAGCATAAGATGAAGAAAGAAGAGCATCAAACGGTCTGCATTCCTCAGTACCCCAGAAATTCTTCTCTTCCCTTGGGATTCCAACTTACCCTCTGGTTAGCCTGCCTTCTTCCCACTCTTTGAAAATTATGACAACCACTATTCCTAGCACTATAAAATATCAAATATGTAAGGAACATAAGAATTCATACAATCCAGTCATCCATCAAAGGTAAGAATCTTCTCAAGCACAGTGACGTTACTAAGACAGCACCTAGTTTTACCCTAAGCCAAATATCATCTTACAATTTCCTAAGCTCATGGTGTAGGACTTCACATTATCAGAGACTCTTTCAGAATCCTCTATTTGAGAATCATCTGAAGCTTTCGTTCACCAGGATAATTTATTCCCCATCCAGCCATGAGCAGGATAAACTGCCACTGCCTTGTCTTTTGCTGCAGTTTTCCAGACACTCCAGATCCATGTGGCAAGGGCCCATATAGCCAAGCTACCTCAGCTTTGAAATAAATGATGTGAACCCTGGTGCCAACTGTGTGAGTAAAGTTCAAAGATTTATGCTATCTTTTAAAATTCAGCCAACTCCTGTGCACAAGAAAAAAAAATCAATTGTTGGACCTCCTTTGTTCTCCAAAAAAATCAATCATGGTTCTTGCCAATGACCCCATTACCCTCTGGATGCCAGGGTCCCTCCTTCACATCCCCATTGCATGTTGACATCAGCCGTATTGCACTGCATTTCCATAAGCCTTCTGTCGTGGTTCAAGATTGAAACCACCTTTTATAGTCTCTTCTCTTGTTAGCATCCTTAGATCCCTATTACTTTTCCCCAAAATAACTGTAAATGTGTGAACTAATTAGCTTAAGAGCACAAGCTCCCTTAATGCCTTCGGAATCCTGCCATCCAACACTGATTTCTCTATGTTCCGAGCTGCAAAATAGCCCCTCACTTGGTTTTGGTTTAATTATTCTTCAAGGTCATCCCTGTGCCACTTCCGTTCATGATTCTTTTCTTCTCTGCTTCTGTTTTTAAGAGGATTTTTAAATAGGTTCGGCAGCTCAGCCGTTTTTGAGTCATTACTAGCTTCAATCCCCTCTCGCACTTATTACTTGGCCTATTTTTTTCTCCAGCCTCGCCTCTTTCTCTGCTATATTTGCAAGAGTGTTTCTGATTCTCTCTAAGCCCTTTGTCAGGTTGGAATTGTTCTGTGTTTAGGAGGCCTGTATCTTTTCCCTTCAGTTTGAACTGATGGTACGTGGCCTGGATTTGATAATTGGTCTTCCCCTCTTTGGTTTACAGCACAGATGGGTTTCTTCCTTCAGCTTCTGATTGCTCCATCAGGACTGAACTGATTGTTCCCTGGATCTTCAGGATGTTCACTGGATAGGCAGGAGCCCCAGGAAGACAAGCTTCCCTGCCTGTGGGTTGTTCAACAGCACCTGGCCTTCAGGAATTCCATGCCATCTACTGATTTATTTCCATGTTCAACTTTGGCAGAAACCAGAATCCTAAGGTGAGGATAATAAAACAAATGCAACAATTATCATAATAATGTTACCTCCCACTGGAGAGCATTGTAGGCCTTTCGAGCACTTTCCTATAAATTATCCAATTTAGAAGACATTGCATAACACACTTTATTTTTTGCTTTCTTCTAATTATTATTCTAATTATTTTCTATTTTCTTCCCAATTATAATTTCTCTTTCCCACTCATTTTGCATTTTTAAGCATTACCTTAAGGAACTATAGGATGCACTTCAGCGATGGATCCACATCAGAGGCTTTTGATCTTTTTGAAGTAACAGCACACAAAGCTCATACTCTAGCCAAGGTCTACATCTTACCAGGCATGTGGAGGGATCCTCAGAATGTCTCCCAAATGAGCACACCCAACGGAAACTGGGGAAATGCTACAACTCAGAGGCATCCAGGAGACCCAAACATTGTGTGGTAATTCCAACACCAGGCTCTGAACAGCACCGCTTCCCAGACATCCCAGTTGGAATGGAAATGGGCTCTTAATTGAGGATAAGGCCTAGACAGGGTTTCAGTTGGAATTGCGTCTGCCGAATATGGGCTCCTGTGGATAAGGGGTCTGAGCAACCAATCAAAATAAAATACCATGCAGAGAGGGAGGAGAAAAAGGACACTCAAGGACACAGCAAGGCAGAAGGCCGAAAGGCCAAGAAAACAGGAGGTCTTCAGAAGTTTACCCCCAGGATAAACCAAGCAGAAGACTCTCCCCTCAAGACTTCCTGGGTTTAAATCTCATCTTCACCATTCACTAGCTATGTGGCCTTGGACAAATTACGTAACAAATCTGTGCAAACCCATTTCTTCATCTATGTCAAATGGGGAGAATAATGGTACCTGCCTCACAGAGTGTCACAAGGATTAAATGACTTAATCCTTGCAATATGCTTAGAAGAGTGTCTGGCACATGATAAAGTGCTATGTAAGTGTTCACTGCTGCTATTATTACTATTATCTAAAGTATCAGGATTTTTCAAGGGTTTCTGGAGAAGGAGAAGAAAATCAATGAGACTATGGCAGACATGTAGAGAGAAACAGATTTTTGGGGCAGAGAGTTTGTGACCTAAAGCTTCTACCAGGCAAATATCGATAGCTAGTTCTAGGAAATAAAGACAGTCCCGGAAGATGGAGTCTTTTTCTTCTCTTTAAGTTACACACATTGTCTGACGTATGAGCTTCCAGGAATTTACAAACATTCCAGCAATAAACATCAAGCACTAGCATCTTCAATAGCAGGAATAAAAAGAACAATAAAGATAAATATCATCAGTGCTTATAAACTGTGGGGCAGATTTTCTACTATCATCATGGTTCAAAACTAGGAGACAGAAAAATTCTGGAGTCCTTTTTTTTATTTCAAATGTTTGATATGAAATTTCTTTATGTTCTTATCTAGTTGCATATAACAAACTATGGATGCCTTTTCTCTTGTGAAGAAGGGCCCCAGGACAGACATGAAATGGGCGGGAGTTAGAGTTCAAGTTGCTGGACAGAGGTGGAGTGAAACTTGTTTTTTAAGCAACGATATCTGTTTTAGACATAAAGTATTTTGGTGTAAAAGAAGTAGATATAAAAATTGCTTGTCTTAGAAAAAAAAAGTAAGCACAGCTTCTGTGATGTGGTAATAACATAGAGGACTAAATATTTGGCCCTTCAAATTCCCTAGTCTTCATTTCAGCCTGGCTAGAAGGGGAGATTGAAGCCACATTCCCAGAACTGTCATATTTATCGGCAGTGATAAATTTGGCAGAGTCTGAAGAATGCTTCTGCACTTACTTTAGCAGCAAAGACTCAGAAAATGGGCAATTGCTTTCCCAACATGAAAAAAGCATCCTGGAGCTGAGCAATTGATTGAAAAAGATGAGACTAGCCTACCAAAGATGAGAACTCTGGGAGATCATTCACGTTCAGAGAAAGAATTCCAGCGTGGCTAAGAAAGGCAAGCTGACTAGTACAATGAAAGGAACTGAGTAGCCTGCATACTGCAAATAGAGGGAGTATGGCTCATGGTGAATTTTTTTTATTTTTTCCATTACTTAGAAGACTGGAATCAAACTGTGTATCTTGGAATTCTACTGGTCTACAAATCCATCTCAGAATCTCTGGGTTTGGTTTTGCTTTTCTAAGGTCCAAGAAAGACCACTCTTGGTTTGAAAAAAGAGATTGTGTCAAACTATTTTAGTCCAATCCACTGAGAAATCAGATTTTCCAAAAATATTTCAATTAGATTTGTATCCCTGTAACCCTTTGACCCTAACAACAAAGTCTAGGAGCTGTAAATTATGAGTCTGCCAAACAGATTAAGGAAGGATCTCTAATAAGAGCAAGAAGGACTGATGGCTTGGTAAGGCAGGTGAGGAAGGAAATGCATATGCTATTCAGTGGGTCAATGAGTTTTTGAGGATGTTTGCCTTCTACAGATGTAAACCACACTGTGAGTGGCTCCATTCCACATCCTGATTGATAGACTACCTGAGCCATCATCCATTTCGACTCTACGCAAACTTGGCTAGGCCACATAGCTAACCCGAGCTCTACAAATGTGAAGTCCTGTTGGCAATACTTTTCTCCCCCTTGTTTATTATTATGTGTTGACATCCAGAGAGATTCTCAGTCAGGTCCTGAAGACTTCAGATTTTCACAATATTACAATTTCAGCAAGCTGAATGTTCAAAAATGGAAATTGGACAGACTTATCAACTTTAATCGACCATTAGAGCATCGGAGCCTGAAGGCACAGTGTTTAACAGTTGGAATGGGGTGGTCAAGTAAAATGCTGTCTCTTTCATTTGGAATCTGGGAATAAAGCCAACCCAGATAAAAAGGGAAAAAAAAGCCATTACTTTGACAGCTGTGGCAGAGCACGAGGATCAGTGTTACAAAGGAGGCCGAGATGCAAATAGTGCAATGCATTTGGGCAAGGTTTGTCTCCTGAATTCTGGCTTTGCAGATTTTGTGCATAATGGAGATAAATAAGCAAAGGAATAAGATACTGACCTACCAGAATGAAGGCTATTATCTGATAACAAAATTGGGGCCTGTGACATCATATTGTATTGCCAGACTTGGCCTCAATATGTCATCACCTTTCTGTGTAGCAATTGCTGCCTTCTCAAAGAGGCAAATAATTTGCTACCTTGGTTCTGCTTCTCTGCTTCAGCCCCTGGGCATGGTACACTGTGAATGCTTTAGAGGAGGATTCTGGAATTAAGGTTTTTAATTACACCTGACATTAGTGAGCTTTCACCTCTTGGCAGCCATCTTGTTAAAATCACCCATGGGAGCAGAAGTTGTTTTACTGGAAGTTAAGGCTCCTTTCCCCTTGATGCCTCTGTTGGCCATGCCACAGATTCCTTCCCGACACCATTTACTCTGCTAATGTGATTTCGTACATTATGAACTTTCAGAATGTTAAACTGAACACAGTTTTTTCCTTTTAAACAAAATATATTGTTTATGTAAAAAGTCTAATGGCCCATAGCAATCCAATTTACATGTAAAGTACAAGATTTCCTATCAAATCAGTTTTATTACTTCACATATGAAAGATATTGAGCAGTGGTAGGTATATTGTATTTGTATCAGGAAAATACAAGAACAGATTTATTGGGCCTGTGCTTAATAATATTAGAATCGATTATCCCAATGAGAGACAGACATCTATTCACTGTGGGGGGAAACATTATTTCCACCACACTACTGATGCCCAGTAAACCTTTTCCCTCTTCACTTGATGAAATCACCATAGTTAAAGGGTTAATAAGGTTTCCTAAAGTGGCAACATTAACTCTCTGTCAGCCACAAGGGAATATTGTTGATACCACTTAAAATTTATTAAGCATGTTTGGTTTGCTGGGCATTATACCAAACCCATAAAACATAAGATATTTTATCATCGGTTGCTTTGTATGCTAATATTTATATGCACTCAGAAACTAGATTTAATCTTTCTTGTATTTTCTACATTATGGAAACCCCAAACCTATTTTTCTTTATATTTCAATTTATCTTTCCTGTTATTCCAATCATTAGATGATCTCTTTGTGAAGTAACCTGTACTCTCATAAATGATCATCTATCTGTAATATTTTAGGAAAGAGCAAATAACTTTTTTATTAACCTGGAAAGCTATTCTATAAGCACTCCTATTAAGAAAGAAGAGCCAACTCTTTTGAATGTTCCTAATAGATTATCTTGATGGCCCCTTTCCTTTTACAATAAATTTCCATTTAATATGATTGAAAACACCAATTTACTTATTTATTTTTATTTTAAGTTCCAGGGTACATGTGTAGGATGTGCAGGTTTGTTATATAGGTAAAGGTGTGCCATGGTGATTTTCTGCACAGATCAACACATCACCAAGGAATTAAGCCCAGTATGCATTAGCTATTTTTCCTGATGCTCTCCCTCCTCTTGCCCCCCTTGACAGGCCTTAGTGTGCATTGTTCCCCTCCCTGGGTCTATGTGTTCACATTGTTCAGCTCCCACTTATAAGTGAGAACATGCTGTGTTTGGTTTTCTGTTCCTATGTTAATTTGCTGAGGATCATGGCTTCCAGCTCCTTCCATGTGCCTGAATAGGACATGATCTCTTTTTATGGCTGCATAGTATTCCATGGTGTATATGTAGCACATTTTCTTTATCCAGTCTATCAATGATGGGCATTTGGGTTGATTCCATGTCTTTGCTATTGCAAATAGTGCTGCAGTGAACATACACATGCATGTATCTTTACAGTAGAATGATTTCTATTCCTTTGGACAGAAGTAGAATGATTTATATACCCAGTAGTGGGATTGCTGGGTCAAATGGTATTTCTTGTTCTAGATCCTTGAGGAATCACCACACTGTCTGCCACAATGGTTAAACTAATTTATATTCCCACCAACAGTATAAAAGTGTTCCTATTTTTCTGCAGCCTCACCAGCATCTGTTGTTTCTTGACTTTTTAATAATCACCGTTCTAACTGGTGTGAGATGATATCTCAATGTGGTTTTCATTTGCATTTCTCTAATGACCAGTGATGTTGAGCTTTTTTCATATGCTTGTTGGTCGCATAAATGTCTTCTTTTGAGAAGTGTCTGTTCATTTCCTTTGCCCACTTTTTAATGGGGTTGTTTGTTTCTTGTAAATTTCTTTAAGTTCCTTGTAGACTCTGAATATTAGACCTTTGTCAGATAGATGGACTGCAAAAATTTTCTCTGATTCGTAGGTTGTCTGTTTGCTCTGTTGATAGTTTCTATTTCTGCGTAGTAGCTCTTTAATTTAGTTAGATCCCATTTGTCAATTTTTGCTTCTGTTGCAATTGCTTTTGATGTTTTTGTCATGAAATCTTTGCCTGTGCCTAGGTCCTGAATGGTAATGCTTAGATTTTCTTCTGGGGTTTTTATAGTTTTGGGTTTTACATTTAAGTCATTAATCCATCTTGAGTTAATATTTGTATAAGGTGTAAGGAAGGGGTCCAGTTTCAATTTTCTGCATATGGCTAGCCAGTTCTCCTCACACCATTTATTAAATAGGGAATACTTTCCCCATTGCTTTTTTCAGGTTTGTTGAAGATCAGATGGCTGTAGATGTGCGGTCTTATTTCTGGCTTCTCTACTCTGTTCCATTGGTCTATATGTCTGTTTTTGTACCAGTACCATGCTGTTTTGGTTACTGTAGCTTTGTAGTATAGTTTGAAGTCAGGTAGCATGATGCCTCCAGCTTTGTTCTTTTTGCTTAGGATTGTCTTGGCTACTCAGACTCTCTTTTGGTTCCATATGAATTTTCAAATAGTTTTTTCTAATTCTGTGAAGAATGTCAATGGTAGTTTAATGGGAATAGCATTGAATCTATAAATTACTTTGGGTAGTATGGCCATTTTCATTCTTCCTATCCATGAGCATGGAATGTTTTTTCCATTTGTTTGTGTCCTCTCAGATTTCCTTGAGCAGTGGTTTGTAGTTCTCCTTGAAGAGGTCCTTCACTTCCCTTGTTAGCTGTATTCCTAGGTATTTTATTCTTTTTGTAGCAATTGTGAGTGGGAACTCATTCATGATTTGGCTCTCTCTTGTCTGTTGTTAGTGTATAGGAATGCTTGTGATTTTTGCACATTGATTTTGTAACCTGAGACTTTGCTGAAGTTTCTTATCAACTTAAGAAGCTTTTGGGCTGAGATGATGGGGTTTTCTAAACATAGGATCATGTCATCTGCAAACAGAGACAATTTGAGTTCCTTTCTTCATATTTGAATACCCTTTATTTCTTTCTCTTGCCTGATTGCCCTGGCCAGAACTTCCGATACTATATTGAATAGGAGTGGTGAGAGAGGGCATCCTTGTCTTGTGCCAAAAACCCTAATTTACATCACATACATGAGATGGGAATAAAGCATAGTCTTTATTTAACAAAAACTAAAAGTAGGAGTCAATGCTATGAGGGATACACAATAATATGAAATGGAACTAATACAAAAGTAAATTTTCTTATAATATCCTGCTAGAATTTTTCTCATACTTTTGGATACAAGATTTTTGCCTTATTAGTTTTCACTTGTAAACATTTTTTCCCATTTTTTCAAGGTTGGAAAGAGCTTTCCTTTCCACCCTAACTTGCTTCTTGGAGTGAAAGGTGGCCCCTAGCTGTCCAGGGCCTAGTTGATACGATTTTGCTTTTGGATTTAGTTAGAAGGCACACGTTTTCCACAGCCTTCCACCCTCTGGGCATGCAAGCAAAGTTCAAACACAACATTGCAAGTAAGCAAAAGTAAATTGAACAGCTAAAACCTTCTTTCAGGGAAAGGCAAACAGATTAGTGAAGGCCAAACCACAGTATGATTCTTGCCTATGCCCCAAAGATAAGTCAGCCATACTCACTCTAGAGAGAAAGTGTGCATGTGTTGTGGGAGGATGTGAGTGTGTGGTATAGCCCACACATAATTTGCCCTTCATGGGCCCTGCAAAATATGGCCTGTGATATGGATTAGTTCTAAAATCATTGATACTAGTCCTGTCTCCCTTCAGCAGGAAAAGAATATTTAGCCAAAATAGTTAGTTTATGTTTTAAAAAAATATTTCCTACACAAGAAATCTTTCCCCTTCCCAA
This sequence comes from Homo sapiens, assembly GCF_000001405.40. NCBI lineage: Eukaryota > Metazoa > Chordata > Mammalia > Primates > Hominidae > Homo > Homo sapiens. Next base: position 23,111,811 of record NC_000002.12, read on the forward strand.
TCCCTTCCCCTCTCCCAGATTCCCAAGTCTAGACTTAGCTATCAAATCCAACTTTTGCCACCATGGGTACGCACCAGGCAGTGAGGGAAAAGGAGCAACTGAACCTCTCCCCACACAGCAAGTGAGCCACCTGGGTCATAACTGCATGATGACTGGTCTCCAAAAATGGCAATATGCCTCCATCAAATAAAGGAGCACTCAGGTGGCCCTTTCTCTTCAGACTTCAGAGACTAGCATTCACAGGGGAGGGAGGCACACATCTAATCAGCTAATAGACTCACTTTCAGAGGCTCTCCTTATGCCTTGACAAGGAATTTACATTTTTAATGTGTTGCCATTTCTACTTTTTTAATTTTTAAGTTCTGGAATACCTGTACAGGATGTGCAGGTTAGTTACATAGGTAAACATGTGCCATGGTGGTTTGCTGCACCTATTAATCCATTACCTAGATATTAAGCCCAGTATGCATTAGCTACTCTTCCTGGTGTTCCCCTTCCCCCAACCCCACCCCCTGAGAGGCCCCAGTGTGTGTTGTTCCCCTCCCTGTGTCCATGTGTTCTCATTGCTCACCTCCCACTTATAAGTGAGAACACGCGGTGTTTGGTTTTCTGTTTCTGCATTGGTTTGCTGAGGATAATAGCCTCCAGCTCCATTAGCTCCAGTCTCTTTTCTTGATCACCAACCCTTATGAGGCAAGCATCCATGGCACCTCACTTATCAGAAAATTAAAACAGCCCAAGAATTTGTGTTCCTCGGCCATTCTAGTCTGGTTCACGGTTCTTTATAGATCACTGCTAATGTCCAAGCCAATGGGCTAGGCTTTGTAGGGGAGGCCAAGATGTAGGAAATACATTCTGCTTCCCTAAGAGTTCACAGACTCCTTGGGGAGGTAAGTTTCATATATGACGTAATTAGTAAATAACAAAAAGACCCGTGTGATTAAAACATTAAAACGTGAAGCCATTGAGGTTCAGGGAAACAAATATTTCACTATCTCCACTATACTCCATTACCAAGGCATAAAAGTAGATTAGAATTTCTTGAAATATTTTCAGCGACAAATGAAATAATAAAAATTCTCTTTTCCTAGCCTATAAGCAGAAAAGTCAAATAATCATATCATGTTGGTACCTCATCATTCTGTTTACTTGATGGAGCAAAAAAAATATCAACAAAGCCACAATTTCTCTATGAATCCGAGTATGTTTGGTTCCCACTTTGCTTTCTTTATTAACTCAGAATGCTTTTTTTAAAAGAAAGAATGTTATACACCTGTTGTATTTTAGCCCTTTAAATGTATCTGACAAGTCCATGTCAGCTGTTAGGCAGTTAGGAGAAACCATAAAAAAGCAACCCTCCCAGGACATCTCCGGGCTCCCTTTAGCCTGCCAGTGACAGTCATCCCACTCACTGGTTCACCAGTTCTGCTCCTCTTCCAGTCTCTTTGATGCCAAATCTTGGTGCTGCATCTATCAGGTTCCTTGGATTGGCCATATCACCCTTTCAGAGCACACCATCCCAGGAAAGACCCTTGCTTGCCTTGCTCCACCCAATACTCGCCCAGAAAACACAGCACTGCAAGACCCAAGGGTGATGGTTAGGGTCTAAGGGTCATCATAAGGGCCAAAGGTGTGAAAGTAAAAGACAACATTTGGAACTTTTTGATGCCAGGGTAGTATATATTGTAAAACATCTGTTTACCTGCATACAGCCCTCTCCCCCAACCCCAGTGACTGAGCTCTTCATGGTATGAGGCAAGGACTTTCTTAGCTCCTCATTCTAGCACAATGCTGGGAAAAATAACACACAAGTGGTTGCCTAATTAATTAATTAATCCATGCTCCAAGGTTAATTTACTCCCCCAAACAAAACTTTCATTTATTCCATGGTCTCGACTAGAGTTGAGAAGGAAAACAATCTAATTGAATTAATTCACTCAAAGGCATAAATTATTTAAAAAAAATACATCGTCCTGAAGTAGGACAATGGTATTTTTAAAAATCTCCCCAGGAGGTTTGCATGAGTAGACTGGGTTGAGAACTACTGGCATAGAAAGTCCTGTGTGTTCTCGCCCTGCTTCTCTCTTCTGTTGCTTCTGCCGTCATCCACTCCATGCCTGCATGTGTCTGACTGTGCTACAATAGATGCACAGCTTGCCCTCCCACACCCCCACACCTCTCCACCATACTTGGAGAAATCAGAAGTAAGGGACCATATTACTGTCTCCCCAAGATTTTCCCATCACTATTCATATTTGCCTCCTGAATTATTTTTTCCTTAGAAATAGATGTCAGAAATTATGTTTCATTTGGAACAAGAGTTAAATCATCAGAGGAAAATACCATCTCTCCATAAGGAAACTACATCAGTAATACCTGGCAATCATGGGAAATTTGATTAGACTAAATGAGAAGAAAATACAAAGATGTAGCAGCTCATCTCAGTGGTAAATAGATTTTGTTGGTGTTGATTTTCTTTATCTTTGGGGTGAAACCCATTTTCTAACTACAGAAAAAGATTTATCCTAGTTGCCAGAGCTGTGAAAGGGCGTCATAATATCCAACACCTTTCCCCATTGCATCCTCAACCTATAGCATGAAATAGCCACACAATTTGGTAATGACTTAGGAGGTGCTGATGGTAGAGCTTAGAGTTCCATTCTGATGGATTCAAGTCTGACTCATCCTGCTGGATTTCAGTAATAGCAGAGGAGGTCTCAGTGACCAAATAGAGTGAGCTCAGGCAGTTTTCAAGTACATAAAAATGGATCTTGATCATGAAATCATCATAATTGTATTTTCTGATGATGGAGCTGCTGTACCCATGACTCCATCTGAAATATTTAGGGCTTATTCATTTCAGATGATCCTGAAGCAGCCCCTCCACATACATGCATTTTCCAAGCAATATTGATGTGGTAGGGGAAAAAGAGTTAGGGGTATTTATTAGGATTAATTAATACACGAGAGGAAAGAGATAGATGTGATTAAACTAACTTCCCAGGTTCATCATAAATATTTTATTCATTTATGTGACTCTGCAATTCTATTTTTGTCCCTTAGAAAATAGCCCTAGATGTGAGGACTTGAAACTTCCTATGAGTGAAAACAGGGTACAAGGATTCTTACAGCCAGGGCTGCGGCTGGAGACATGCAAAGAGGGGGCTATCTTTAGTCAGAAGATATGACACTTCCAAGGAAGGTAAGAAGGTCACACCATCACTGCATGCCTTGGGCCAACTCTGGCTCTCTGAAGACAACATAAGGTAAGAAAGGGGCATCAAAATGTTTCTATGTATCAAATGCATAGTTTACAGTAATATTTATGAAAACTCTCTTTTCAACTTCCTTCCAATCCCAAATATACTCCAGCAGCACACTCTTTAACTCCTCCCTAGAAAACTCTTCATCACCCAGCCGGAGCCTTGCTTTCTTCCTTTACTTCAGGGGCAGGGTGGGGGATTCTGGTAGAGACCATATCACTGTGCCCATTGAGGTAGAGATCCTCTTGAGTTCTGGGGAAAGGGGAATGTCTGTGAACATGCAGGTCTCATGAATTTTATCCCATCATACACTCATAATGTACCCTTGTATTTTAGATATTTTCCTGTTTTCTTAAATAAATTATAGATTACTTAAGGCAAGAACTATGTTGTATTAACCTTTAGTGCAATGTAGGTTTTCAATAATGGTTTGTGAAATGAAAGAATTAAAATATGTACAAATAAAAGTCAAAGATTAAAATTTGTATTTCATTAATTCTGCCTGCAAATACACACACTACACCCTCAATTCATATTTTCTGATGATGATAAAATAGGAAGGCAAACCAATCCGAGTGAGGAGGCAAAGACCTGTGCGCTGTTCACAGAGGACTCACTGGTATTTTCTGCCTCTGCCACCCTTGCTTTCCCGTGCTGCCTTCAGTCCAAGCCAGTGGTGTCCTTCAGGGCAAGCCAATGGTGCTGATGCAAGGTCATGGAATTTATGACAGGCAACTAGCTT